>NC_000012.12:68066188-68217703 GCF_000001405.40 Homo sapiens | reverse complement strand
GTCACATGATGTATGATCTTTATTTTTACGATGATAACAACCCCTGACAATTATTGTCTAGATCCGTTAATTCATAAGGCACTACAAAATAATAATTTTTAAATTCTATTTTATCTTCTTTACTCATAAGCTGGGATAATTCAATAAATAGAATCTACTCCTATTTGGATGTTCTGAGGAACTTATCATATAAGAAAGCCAGGTTAAATACTTAATTATCTTCCTTTATTTGCTAGCTTTCAACATAAGTGGTTGGTTTTCTGATTTTCTCCCATAATGACCAATGAATTATTAATTTTGTTGTCATTTTCTCTGTTTCATTATTAACTCATGAAATTATTTCTTATTTTTGTGAAGCTTATCTGATTTCTCTAAGGTACCTGCCTTTTGGGCTTCCTTGCAAGTCCGTTTTCTTGAGCCACTCTTAAGATAAAACAGCATGACAAATTATCATGATAGACTCCAAGGACTGGAATTCCCAGTACCACTGTATTTGGACATCCTCTCATTGCTTCTGGTGACATTCTAAGCATTTTGCAGCACCTAATAAAATATATTTTCCAATTAGTTTGATTTGGGTAAGTCAGATAGTATAATTGTTCAAAAAATAAGTTATGTGTAATGTAAACTTCTTTATGTTTATACTCTTTCCTAGCCATAATATTTGGAAAATTGTTTATGTAAGAAGACATTTTAGAGATTCTTACAGAACTCAAATACTCTCAGACTTGAAAGAGAATTTAGCAGTCACCTTATTGGATTCATAAAATAATTTACCTAATTGCTAGTGATCAAAATAGAAATGAAAATAATTTCTGTTAGTTTTTAAGATTTCATCGTCTACTTTAATTAACATTTTGAGAGCCTGAACAGTAATTGGTATTTAGAGAGACACATTTCTTCATGTCGGTTGCATGTAATTAATTTTAAAGTCTGGCAAAAATTGGCAAACAGAATATTGTGTTTCCATTTTTTGTAGACTGTTTAATAAGTAACTTGTATCATCAATTGCAAATAGCTTATCAACTTGTAAAATAATACCATTCATTCATCCCTGTAATTTAAAATTGTAAAAATTGCAACTGGTTGAACTGATAAAGCAAGAGTGAGACCAATCCTGTCTTATTCTTTTATCAGCTGCAAAGTCTAAAACCTGTGTCTTCAATAACAGTAGCCTCATCTTAAGGTCGTTGGGAGAATTAAGTACCTAGCATGTAGTAGTTCTGCAGAATTGTTAGTGCTTCCTTTATTGCTTTTCATGCACAGAACATTAATTTTTATTCCAATTACATTTTCTCAACAATTTACGAAGGAGTGGTTCTCTTAAGTAATCAGATACTTTTTTAGTGCTTAAAATTAGTATTATATTGTATAATGTGTATAATTTATAGTAGTAGCTTATTTATTTTTTTATGAGACGGAGTCTTGCTGTGTTGTCAGGCTGGAGTGCAGTGGTGCAATCTTGGCTCACTGCAACCTCCACCTCCTGGGTTCAAGCGATTCCCCTGCCTCAGCCTCCTGTGTAGTTGGGACTACAGGCGTGTGCCAGCATGCCTGGCTAATTTTTTGTATTTTAGTAGAGATGGGGTTTCACCATGTTGGCCAGGATGGTCTCGATCTTCTGACCTTGTGATCCATCCACCTCAGCCTCCCAAAGTGCTGGGATTACAGGCGTGAGCCACCACGCCTGGCCAGCAGTAGTTTAATTTAAAGATAAATAGGCTGAGCATGGTGGCTCATGCCTGTAATCCCAGCACTTTGGGAGGCTGAGGTGGGCAGATCACTTGAGGCCAGAAGTTTGAGACCAGCCTGGCCAACATAGTGAAACCCTGTCTCTACTAAAAACAAAAATAAAAATAAAAATAAAAAGTTATCTGGATATGGGGTGCATGCCTATAATCCCAGCTACTCAGGAGGCTGAGGCACGAGGATTACTTGAACCCAGGAGGCTGAGATTGCAATGCGTCAAGATTGCACCACTGCTCTCCAGCCTCAGCAACAGAGGGAGATTCTGTCTCAAGAAAAAAAGATAAATAAATTATGAGTAATTGGTTTTAACTTTGGTAAAGGTATTTTCTAATTATGTTATTGAATTGTTTTGCTGACAAATTCATTTCTTGGTTAATGATACATAATTTCTCTGTCAAAATTGTGAGGCATGAAAAATGACGGAGAAAAAGCAAGCTGGCTTCACTATCCCTTCTTCTGCATCCTGAAAACCAAAAACAAATACACAGCACTATGATTATCACCAGCAATATCCCAGAATGCTAATATATGAGGATAAGACAGTTCCTGAGGCCTCAGAGAAGTGAAAAAATTTTGGGCAGATAGTAACAGAATTGGAATTTTACATCCACAATGCCCCTCCCCCAATCTGCCAGGCACCAAGCACAGGGAAAATTTTCTCCCAACTCACAATTACTACACTGGAAAACGTGGGATTGAGGTGGACAATCAGCTTTCCCATCATCTTGAGCTCCTGGGTAGGATACCTATACCTGCCTCAACAAAAAGTCAAAATGTGTGTGTGTTGGGGGATGGAGTTAAAGTATAGTTTTTAAAAGTTTTTCCTTGGTTTGTTTCTAGTCCCTTTTTATTTTGATCAAATATAAGTTGTCATCTGTTTGAAATAACTCGTTATATTTATAAGAGGTTTTTTTGTAAGCCTCGTGGTAACCACAAAGCAAAAACTATAATAAATGCACTAAAAATTAAGAGCAACAAAATAAAACATACTGCCAAAGAAAATAACCACAGAAGACAGTAGAAAGGAAGAGAGGAGTTAAAAAAAACAAAATGAAATAAAAAAAAAAAAACATAAAACAGGTAACAAAATGTCAGTAGTAAGTTTTTACCTATCAATGATAACATTGAATGTAAGTGGACTAAATTTTCTAATTAAATGACAGAGTGGCTGAATGGATAAAGAAACAAGACCAAACAATATGCCACCTATAAGAAACTTGCTTCACCTATAAAGGCTCACATAGACTGACAGTTAAGGAATGGATAAAAGATATTCCATGCAAATGGAAACCAAAAAAAGAGCAGGACTAGCTATCCTTTTATCAGATAGACTACAAGCCAAAGTCCGTAAAAAGAGGGTAGAAAGTCACTATATAATGATAAAGAGGTTAATTCAGCTAGAGGATATAACAATTATAAATATCTATGCATGCAACATAAGAGCACCCAAGTATATAAAGCAAGCATTAATAGATCTAAAGGGAGAGCTAGACTGCAATACAATAATAGCAGAGGACTTCAACACTCCAATCTTAGTAATGGACAGATCATTTAGACAGGAAAAGTTAAACTACACATTAAACCAAATGGGCCGATGTGACATTCACAGAATAATTCACCCAACTGCTACAGAATACACATTCTTTTCATCAGCACATGGAACATTCTCCAGAAAGACTATATTTTAGGCTACCAAACAAGTGTCAGCACATTCAAAAAGTCATAATTATGTCAAGTATCTTTTCTGACCACAATGGAATAAAACAGAAATAAACAACAAGAGGAATCTTGGAAACTACGAAAACTCATGGAAATTAAATAATATGCTCCTGAGCAATCGATGAGTCAGTAAATATATTACGATGGAAATTTAAAAATGTCTTAAAATAAATAAAAGTGGAAACACAATATACCAAAACCTATGGGATACAGCAAAAGCAGTCCTAAGAGGGAAGTTTATAGCAGTAAATGCCTACCTCAAAAAAGTAGAAAGACTTCAAATAAACAACTAATAATGTATCTGAAGGAACTGGGAAAGTAAGAACAAACCAAATTTAGTAGAAGGAAATAACTAATAAATGTCAGAGCAGAAACAAATGAAATTGAGCCTACAAAACAATAGGGAAGTGCAATAAAATAAAAAATTGGTTTTTTTGAAAAGATAAACAGTGGACATTTAGCTAAGAAAAAGAGAGAAAATACAAAATAAAATCAGAGATGAAAAAAGAGACATAACAACTGATGCCACAGAAATACAAATAACTATTACAGAATTACAGAATATTACGGAAAATTATATGTTAACAAATTGGAAAACTTAGAAGAAATGGATAAATTACTAGACACATGCAACCTATCAAGATTAAGCCATGAAGAAAGACAACCTGAACAAACCAATAATGAGTAACAAGATTGAAGCTGTAACAAAAGTCTTGTATTAAAGTAAACCCAGGACATAATGGATTCAGTGCTGAGTTCTACCAAACATTTTAAAAAGAATTAATTCCAATTCTACCCAAACTCTTAAAAAATTAAAGAGAAGAGCATATTTCCAAACTCATTCTGTGAGTCCAGTTGTACCTTGATATAAATCAGACAAGGACACAACAAAAAAGAGAAAACTGCAGGCCAATGTTTCTAATGAAAACAAACACAAAAATCCTCACAAAAATATTAGCAAACCAAATTCAACAACACATTGAAAAGATCATTCACCAGATCAGGCTGGATGCATCCCAGGGATGCAAGGATGGCTCAAAATGTGCAAATCAATAAATGTGATACATGAAAAGAACCAAGAACAAAAACCATATGATCATTTCAATAGATATTGAAAAAGTATTCAATAAAATTTATATCCCTTTATGATAAAAACCCTTAACAGACTAGATATAGAAGGGGCATACCTCAGAACAATAAAAGCCATTTATGATGAGCTAACATCACACTGAATGGGGAAAAATTGAAAGCCTCTCCTCTATCATCTGGAACAGGACAAGTTTGACCACTTTCACCACTTTTATTCAACATAATACTGAAAGTCCTAGTCACAGCAAATAATCAAGAGAAGGAAATAAAGTGCATTCAATTTGAAAAGGAAGAAGTTAAATTATGCTTTTTCACAGATGACATGGTCTTATATTCAAAATATCCTAAAGACTCTACCTAAACTGTTAGAACTGATAAAAAAAATTCCGTAAATTTGCAGGATACAAAAATCAATAGCATTTATGCATGCAAACAGTGAACAATATAAAAAAGAAATAAAAAAGCAATCCCATTTACAATAGCTGCAAAAATATAAGATAACTAGGAATAAATTTAACCAAGGAAGTGAAGGATCTCTATAAGAAAAACTATAAAACATTGATGAAATTGTGTATAAAACAATGAAATTGAAGAGGACACACACACAAAACATGGATATTCAATGCTCCTTCATTGAAAGAAATAATACTGCTAAAATATCAATACTACCCAAAGCTATCTACAGATTAAATGCAATTTCTATCAAGATACTTCTAGCATTCTTCACAGAAATAGAAAAACATGGTAAAATTTACATGGAACCACAGAACCACAAAAGACCCCCCAAAAGCCAAAGCAATACTGAGCAAAAAGAACAAAGCTGGAAGCATCACACTACCTGACTTCAAAACATACTATAAAGCTATAGTAACCAGAAGAGCATGGTACTGGCATTAAAAACAAAAAACATAGACCAATAGAAAAGAATAGAGAACCCAGAAATAAATCCATACATTTACAGCCAACTCATATTTTGACAAAGGTGCCAAGAATATACATTGAGGGAAAGAACAGTCTCTTCAATAAATGATGCTGGGAAAACTCGATAACCATATGCAGAAAAATGAAACTAAACTCCTATCTCTCACAGTATAGAAAAATAAAATCAAAATGGATTGGAGCCCAATATAAGACCTAACACTATGAAACTATTGGAAGAAAACTTGAGGAAACACTTCAGGACATTGGTCTGGGCAGAGATTTTTTTTTGAGTAAGTCCTCGAAAGTACAGACAACCAAAGAAAAAAATAGACAAATGGGATTATGTAAAGCTAAAAATCCTCTGCCCAGCAAAGGAAACAATCGACAAAGTAAGAAGGCAACCTACAGAATCGGAAAAAATATTTGCAACTATCCGTCTGACAAGGGACTAATCAGAATATATGAGGAACTCAAAGAACTCAATAGCAAAAAGCAAATAATCTGATTTAAAAATGGGAAAAAGATCTGAATAGACATACAAATGGCCAACAGGCATATCAAAATACTCAATATCACTAATCAGAGAAATGCAAATCAAAACCACAGTGAGATACCATCTCACCCCCGTTAGAATGGCTATAACTTAAAAGGCAGTAGTGATGCTGGGAAGGAGGTAGAGAAAGGGGAACCCTGGCACACTGTTGGTGGGAATGTAAACTAGTATAACCGCTATGGAAAACAGTATGGAAGCTCCTCAAAAAACTGAAAGTATAACTACCATGTGATTCAGCAATCTCACTACTGGATATATATCCTAAAGAAAGGAAATCAATTTCTTGAAGAGATAACCTGCACTCAAATGTTTATTCAGCACTAGCCACAGTAGCCAACATATGGAATCAATCTAAGTGCTCATCAATGGATGAATGGATAAAGAAAATGTGGTATAATGAAAAAAATGAAATTCTGTCATTTGCAGCAACATGGATGGAACAGAGGTTTTTACGTTAAGTGAAGGAAGCCAGGCATGGAAAGACAACTATTTCCTGTTCTCACCCATTTGTGGGAGCTAATAAAGTGGATCTCATGAAGACAGTGAATAGGTTGAGTGTGAGCAGAGGCTGGGAGAGGTAGGGGTGTGGCAAGATGAAGAGAGGTTGATTAATGGGCTCAAAAATACAGTGGGAGGAAGTTACCCTGATTTAATCATAACACATTATATGAATGCATCAAAATGTCACATGTACCCTGAAAATATTTACATCTATTATGTCTCAATAAAAAATTATGGGGTGCAGCTCTATTGCTGAGTTCGGAATTTAATTCACATGCTAAATTGTGTGAACTAATTCTGATGAATGACAATAACACTGAAAAATGTAAAAACCTGCACTAATGTTATCCTACTATAGTATCTATTTGTATTTAAAGTATTAAAAAAACTCTTTCTAATTTTTTTCTATGGTTGGAACATGAAGAAATGTCTTACAAGGGTTTAAGATTATTCTAGGTAAGCTAGCTTACCTATATCAGATGATCTTTGTAGTTATAGAGAATATAGAAATTGGATAATGATGTTTTGTAAACTTTTCTGTTCAATATCTACTGAGTTGTTGGATATTTGTCTTTTTATTAAAATTAAATGTCTGATTATGAATTTGGTTTCGCAGAGAGACACTTGGCTAATAATTTAGTCCCTCTTTTCTACTTTCATGAAAACTTGCTTGTAAATCTAATCATGCTTTCTTCAAATTATGCTAATTTTGTTGTTTTCTTTCAAAGTTTCCTATAAATCTTTCTGGTGTCAGTAGTTTTGTGTTGGTGTCCTAGTGCTTGTGCTGTTTTTTTTTTTTTTTTTTTTTTTTTTTTTTTTTTTTTTTTTTTTTTGCCAAACTGATATTTATTTATTTAGTCTATTTTTTAAACATTATACTAGCATAATTTTCTCAAGTATGGCTTTAAAAGCACTTCAGATAATATTTGTAGGACCCCATGTGAACAACTGTGCAAAAAGTCAGTGAATAAGATCTGCTTAAGAGTCTGTATCTGCAGTAAAACAATAAAATTAAGTTTAGTCTTTAGTTGAATCTCTTATCTGTCACTCTTATCTATCATCTGTATTTTGGAGAAGAAAAACTTTCAAGAAACCAAGGCTGTGGTCACAGTAGAAACCATCTTAGCCATTAAGGTCAACTAAAAAAACAAAAAACAACAAGAAGGGTGGTTATGATCCAGTCTGAAGTTGTATATTGAGGTCTATAAAAATGAAGGTCTTATGTATGGTTTTTCACTTACCCTCTGGCTGTATATTTATAATATGATAGAGTATAATCTAATAAAATCCTTTTTGTCGAGAGAGGATTTGAGGCCATTCTCCGTGAGAATGCAGTCTGGGCAGTTAATTCTCTGAGGAACCGTGACACATGTAGCTGTCGACTCATAACCCACTATCTCCTTTCCTCAAATTATTGGTGTTGGGGTAAAAGCTGAGTGTTGGGAGAAGCTGAGGCGGGGGCTTGCATGTCTGATATAATGTAAAAGAGTCTTGGAACATGTGCAGGGTCCAGAGTCTAAAACCCCTCACGGCTTTTGGAACACCAAGCTCTGTGCAAAAGGGTGGAAGGCTACCCTGACGCACCATAATCTAAGCCTAGGGCATAAAACCCGTAGGGGCTAGGATAGCATCCAGGGCTCAGGGCATAAAACCCCTCGTGGCCTCTGGAATGTGTCTAGACTTGTCGGCTCCTTGCTCTCCCAGGATCGATTGTATCTTGAGTTAAAAGAACCTACTCTCCATTATCTCAAGTAGCAGAGCATATGCTAAACTGTCACAGCTGTAAATCATGTGCTTAATGCAATGCTCCCTTTCAACCCCACATTCTCACCACCTGTTTCTTTGTTTGATCACCAATAAATAGTCTGGGCTTCCAGAGCTCAGGGCCTTTGCAGCCTCCGTACTCGTGTTGGCCCCCTGGACTCACTTTCTCTCTCAAACTGTCTTTTCTCATTCCTTTGACTCCACTGGACTTCGTTGCCCCCACGACCCGGTGTTGGGTCTGATTACCCCAACAATCAGTAGAGGTTTTCCATTTTTGCTTTAGCCATCATATGCAATACAAATTTGTATGATTTTTTTGAACACATAAGGAAATTGGAAAAAACTAAGGATTGTATTGCTTGTTTATCTGATTGTTTTAGACAAAGTTATAAGGGTCACTAATGTCTAGGCCATGCTTCAAATTTTTAAGAAACAAGTAGGCTTGTGGACCCTGAGGCAGTAAGTCGATGCCTGCATTTTATTTGTTGATTGATTTATTCAGCAAATGTTTATTATTTAGTATTTGCTGAACACTATTCCAGATGCAGGGGACTCAATGAAAATCGACAGACAATACTTCTGTCCTCATAGAGCTCATTGAAAATGCTGGCTGGGCGTGGTGGCTCACACTGTAATCCGAGCACTTTGGGAGGCAGAGGCGGGTGGATCACTTGAGGTCAGGAGTTCGAGATCAGCCTGGCCAACATGGTGAAACCCTATCTTTGCTAAAATATAAAATTAGCCAGGCGTGGTGGTGGGTGCCTGTAATCCCAGCTACTTGGGAGGCTGAGGCAGGAGTATTGCTTGAACCCAGGATACGGAGGTTGCAGTGAGCTGAGATTGCGCGCGCCACTGCACTCCAGCCTGGGCCACAAGAGTGAAACTCCGTCTCAAGAAAAAAGAAACAAAGAAAGAAAGAAAGAAAGAAAATGCTTTCTTCCCATCTTGGCTAGTCTCAAGTTGTGATTGGTGCTGCAAAGGGAGCACATAGGAGGATGTGCTGCAGCAGAGGTGGAGGTTCGGGGCCATAACTTGGATTTAGTCCGAGGTATTCAGCTGAGACCTGAAGGGTGTTTAAATTATCTCTGCGCTCTCCAGCCTTTGAACACCTTGCTTCCCTGCCTACTCATCTCTTCTTCCTGCTTTTTCCACTCATCTTTCAAGACACAAGTCACTTTTTTTCTTCTGGAAGACTTCAGAGGTTACCTCTCCTCTGTCTCCTGGAGCAGTCATGTTTTTGTTTTAATCACAGTATTTGTCATATAGAATTGTAATTGTGCATCACTCTGTGTCTTGGCAGACTGTGAGGCCTCAAGTGTACCCTGGGGTGATTTTCATGCAGGGTACTTTTGTGCATTAAATATAGGTTTGAACTGCATAGGTCAACTTACATGTGGTTTTGTTTTTCAATAAATACACTAGACAATTTTTTGGAGATTTGTAACAATTTGACAAACTTGCAGATGAGATGTGTATCCTAGAAATATGGAAAAATTAAGAAAAATATGTCATTAATGCATAAAATATATGTATGTACTAGTCTATTTTATCATTTGCTACCATGAAGTATCCACAAATCTATTATAAAAAGTTAAAATGTATCAAAACCTATACACACAGACACTTACAGACCATATATGGAGCCATTTGGTTTGTAAACAAAGGTAAAGATACAATATTAAAGCATCTGGCAACTGGGAACCTGTCTGCTGCCTTTTGGTTGGTAGAAACTGCTTCTACCAATCAATGTGTTCAAATTGCATGTAAATTGCACATTACCAATGAGTAATGTGAGTAGAGACAAACTGCTCACATGAAGATAATTAGCTGCACAAAATTACTTGTGGTAATGCTGTACTACTATAATAATTCTGTAGCCACCTCCTGTTGCTATTGTAGTATGCTCAAGTGCTGTGAATATCCACTTAAAATGCTGTATAATGTTAATTATCTTCATGTGAGCAGTTTGTCACTGTAGTAAATTGCCCATTGCAGTAAAAAGTGGTCTCTTGTGTATTTTTCACTGTGTTTTGTGCAATATCATAAATCTTGAATAATACCATGGGTGCCACAAAAAGTGCCACTGGTGATGCTGGAAGTGCTCCCAAGAAGTAGAGAAAAGTCATGACATTACAAGAAAAAGTTGAACTGCTTGATATGTACCACAGAGTGAGGTATGCAGCTGAGGTTGCCTGACAAGTCCAGGATAAGGACCATTGTGAAAAAAGAAAAGGAAATTTCTGAATCCCCTGCTACAGCTACACCAGCAGGTGTGAAAACCTTGCACTTTTCCAGAAACACCTTTTTAAAAATCTCCTATTGAAAATGCAGCTTTCATGTGGGTGTAGGACTGCTAAAAGAAAGGCACATCTATAGACCCTGATATGATTCAAGAAAAAGTGAAGTCATTATATGACAATTTAAAACAAAAGAAAGATGAAGGATCTACAGCTGCAGAATTTAATGCCCTCAAAGGATGGTTTGAAAATTTTAGAAAGACATTTGGCTTAAAAAAACTGTCAAGATAACAAGAGAAACAGTTTCTACCAACCAAGAGGCAGCAGACAAGTTCCCAGATGCCATTAAAACAATCACTGGGAAGGAAGGGTATCTGCCTGAACAGGTTTTTGATGTAGATGGAAGTGTCCTATTCTGGAAAACAATGCTACAGTCATTTATCAGTAAAGAAGTGAGCACCAGGATTTTAAGGCAGGAAGGAATAGGCTAACTTTAATGTTTTGTGCAAATGCAGTCAGGTTTATGATCAGGACTGCCCTTATTTGTAAAGCTGCTAACCTCTGAGCCTTGAAGGGAAGAGATAAACACCAGCTGCCAGTCTTTCCATTGTACAACATGAAGGCCCAGAAAATGAGAACATTTTTTTATGGATTGGTTCCATTGGTGCTTTGTTCCTGAAGTCAGGAAGTACCTTGCCAGTAAGCAACTGCCTTTTAACGTTTTTTTGATATTGGGCAATGCTCCTGGCCACCCAGAACCCGAAGAATTAAACACAGAAGGCACTGAAGTAATCTACTTGCCCCCATATACAACATCTCTAATTCAGCCTCTAGATCAAGGGGTCATAAAGACCTTTTAGGCTCATTACATGTGGTATTCTACAAAAAGGATTGTCAACAATATGGAAGAGAACACCAATGGAGGGAACATCATCAAAGTTTAGATTACACTATTGAAGATGCTATCATTGTTATAGAAAAAAACATGAAAGTCATCAAGCCTGAAACAATAAATTCCTGCTGGAGAAAAGTGTGTTCAGATGTCGTACATAACTTCATAGAATTTACAACAGAACTAATCAAAGAAATCACAAAATAGATTGTGTCTATGGCAAAAAGATGGTGGGGGCAGGAGCAGGTTGAAGATATCAAGATATGGATCTTGGAGAAATTCAAGAGCTAGTAGACACTGCACCACAGGAATTAGCAGAAGACGACTTGATGGAGATGAGTGTTTCTGAACCAGTGCCAGACGATGAGGAAGAAGACATAGAAGAAGCAATCCCAGAAAACAAATTGACATTAGACAATTGGCATAAGGGTTCCAATTATTCAAGAGTGGTTTTAACTTCTTTTATGACATGAACTTTTCTATGATACGAGGACTGAAACTAAAGCAAATGGTGGAAGAAGGGTTAGTACTGTATAGAAATATTTTTAGAGAAATTAAAAAAGTCAGACAGAAATTACTATGTATTTCCTTAAAGTTACACCAAGTGCCTGCCTCTCCTGCCTCCCCTTCCACTTCCTCCACCTCTTTTGCTTCTGCCATCCCTGAGATGGCAAGACCAACTCCTCCACTTCCTCCTTATCCTTAGTTTGCTGAACATGAAGATGGCAAGGATGAAGACATTTATGATGATCCACTTCCACTTAATGATTAGTAAATATATTTTCTCTTCCTTATGATTTTCTTAGTTACATTGTCTTTTCTACAGCTTATTTCATTATAAAAATACAATCTATCTATCTATCTCACAAAATATGTGTTAATTGATTAATCATGTTATCAATAAGGCTTCCGGTCAACTGTAGGCTATTAGTTTAATTTGGGGGGGGTCTAATGTTTTACGCAGGTTTTTAACTTCATTGGTGGGGCGGGGGGTCAGTGCACCTAACGTTATCCAGCATTGTTCAACTGTAAATCATTCATTGTCAACAGTAAATCAGTGCTATATGGCAGAGGCATTGCTGTATGCTTAGCATATAGTAAGTATGTGATAAATATATATTGACTTAATAATAAAGAATGAATGTTTCCTATGACATGATTATCTCACATTTTTCTCTGAGCTGATTTCTAGTTATTCTAGCCCTACCAATAATTTGCCTCTGGTCCAGATCATATCAGCTTCTGTTGAGTTTGTCAAATCGTTCAGCCATTCTTATGATAAAACTGCTGACCCTTTATCACACATTGTAATTTCAGCCGCTGCAGCTAGACTCAAAAATATAAAGAAAAGGAAATCATTCTTTGAATAAATTCCTCTTTCCAAGCAAAGCAATCTGAATTACGGCAGTAAAATCTGCCATCCTACTGGACCTGTGGACACATTTACAACAGTATAAAGAAAATGAGAACTCTGTAGATCAGATCTTTACTAGGGGTCACTCGTAGTAAGCAGTGCTCAAGGCACCGGGAAGCATTCCTTCAACCAGAGTGCAGTTGTGTGGCAACACTGGCACTGCTAGTTTTTTTTTTTAATTGAACAGTGTTTTCCTCCTTTTTGACTCTCATTACTCTTCCTAGAGTAGCATGTGCCTTTGGTGTGAGTGAGGGACAAAACCTCTCTGGCACTTCCCACCTGCTGTGGGATGCATTGCACATCCAAGTTTCCCAGGTAGAAGACACAGTTGACAGGAATGCCTGTTTTATTTAACTTCGGTAGTGTCCAGAATGTGGCTGGTTCTTTGGTCTCTTACCTTCAGTGTTAAATCTTTAAATCCTGGCCAGGCGCGGCGGCTCATGCCTGTAATCCCAGCACTTTGGGAGGCCGAGGCGGGCAGATCATGAGGTCAGTGGATCGAAACCATCCTGGCTAACACGGTGAAACCCCATCTCTACTAAAAATACAAAAAATCAGCCGGGCGTGGTGGAGGGCGCCTGTATTCCCAGCTGTTCGGGAGGCTGAGGCAGGGGAATGGCGTGAACCCCGGGGGTGGAGCTTGCAGTAAGCCAAGATTGCGCCACTGCACTCCAGCCTGGGAGACAGAGCAAGACTCTGCCTCAAAAAAAAAAAAAAAAAAAATCTTTGAATCCTAACACATGATTTTAGAAACATGAGGAACTACTTTTAAAAAGGATTCTATGCATTAAATATTAGGATGAAGTTTTACTGAGCATTCACAGATGCACTAATGACAGATTAGAACATTCCACTCATCCCAGAGAAAGAATCCCATGTTGTATAGTTTGGTGCAAATGTAACATGAAATACACCTAGAAAGCATTCTGAAGTCAGGGCTCTTATCACAGTGAGGTCTAACCCTGTGTTCATGAATCCTGCAAACTGTACCTTAAGCTGAGCAGTCTGTGTCTGCAGCCCCTTGATCACAGCAGTCTGCTGTGCCTAATCATGAAAGCCCCTTTCACAGGAAGAGTCTCTTCCCTCCTATGCAGGGTCTGATCTGAAGGTAGCATCCCAATTTGGGCAGAGCCAGAAAACCGTCACCACCATGAACACCCCTGAAGAGACCTGTTGGTTGACCTCAGCATTTTGATAGATGTTATCATTTAGCCACTTTCATTTCAAGTGTTTGAACTAAGTGTTATCTTTATTGATATGACATTCTTTTGTCGAGAGGACATTTAGAGACTAAATGTTATCATTTACCCACTTCCGTTTCACGAGTTTTAACTCTTATCTTTAACTGTTAGATAGTGACACTATTTTGTCACGAGCATAGGACTCCCTGTGGGATGTTAGGTGAGTGACTTAACTACCTGGGCCTTGGTCTCCCTTTCTGCAAAGTGCAAACAATCGGCTTATTCAATCTCCTTGGTCTATTCCAGTGCTAAAAGTTTTATGAGTAAAAACTAAGTAGATAAATTAGGCATTTTCACATTTTCTTTCCTTTCTTTTCCTTTATTAGTCCTATAGAAATTTGTGGGAGAATAGAGTAGGATATTAACTTTCTCCTGTTTGACGCCCAGGTGATTCCTGTGCTCAGATAGGGTTTGAGAATTCACTTGCACAAAGCGGACTGGTAGTTTCCCCTGGCCAGCCAGCCTACAAGCCAGCTGCTCGAGATACTAGCCTGCTGCTTCTCCTAATTTCGAAAGTAATATTTAATGTCCTAGGTGCCTTCTCCTTGTAGTCTACACTGAACATTGTTCTGTGCTTTGTACATGATAGGCAGAGTGATTTTTTAAAAGGTAATTTTTTTTTCTTGTCATTCTCATGTCCTTCATGCTTCCCACATTTCTCTTGCTTAATTGCTCCAGCCATGCTTGCTTGCTTTCTTTCAGTTTCTGGAAAGCACTGAGCTTTCTCTTGCCTCGGAGGAGCATATTTTCCTCTGCCTGAATTACTCTCTTGTGTCTTCTCCCCAACTTTCTCTCTCCTTTCCTCAGTTTCTCATATAGCCTGTGCCTTCCCATTTCTGTTATCTCAACTTAAATGTTGATATGGTTTGGCTCTGTGTCCCCACCCAAATCTCATCTTGAATTGTGATCCCCAAATGTGGAGGGAGGGACCTGACGGGAGGTGATTGGATCATGGGGGAGGTTTCTCCTGTGCTGTTCTCATGACAGTAAATGAATTCTCATGAAATCTGATGGTTTAAAAGTATGGCACTTCCCCCTCTGCTCACTCTCCTGCCACCAGGTAAGATGTGCCTTGGTTTCCCTTCACCTTCTGCCGTGATTGTAAGTTTCCTGAGGCCTCTCTAGCCATGCAGAACTGTGAGTCAATTAAACTTCTTTTCTTTATAAATTACCCAGTCTCGGGTAGTTATTTATAGCAGTGTGAAAATGGGCTAATACAAATGTCATTTTTCAAAAGACCCCTCCTTGACCACCCAGTTGAAGGTAGGCGGTTCCTATAAATCCCTGTCATAGAGTTTCGAGAGTTGCTAACACAGCTTTAATTGTAATTTGTAAATTTTTGTTTTTGTTTTATTTGTCATCTGCTTTCCCATGAAACTTTAAGCTCTGTGAGGAAAAAGATCATGCATTATTTATTTTGCCAGTGCATATCTAGTGCTCAGCACATAATACCTGCTCTATAAATATTTGTTGAATGAATGAAAGAGTATCATTAATGCCTCTTCAACAATATTATCTGTAATTACTGTTGATTTCTTAGATTTCCTGTGCTTCATCAGCTAGAGAGATGAAATCCATTACCAGGATGAAAAGAATATTTTATAGGGTAAGAATTCTAAATCCTTATATTAAAAAACTTTGTTTTTTAAAATAGGAAAAATTTATTCTCTTATATCTGTACTTTATCTGCAGATTGGAAACAAAGGAATCTACAAAGCCATCAGTGAACTGGATATTCTTCTTTCCTGGATTAAAAAATTATTGGAAAGCAGTCAGTAAACCAAAGCCAAGTACATTGATTTTACAGTTATTTTGAAATACAATAAGAACTGCTAGAAATATGTTTATAACAGTCTATTTCTTTTAAAAACTTTTTAACATAATACTGACGGCATGTTAGGTGATTCAGAATAGACAAGAAGGATTTAGTAAATTAACGTTTTGGATATAAGTTGTCACTAATTTGCACATTTTCTGTGTTTTCAAATAATGTTTCCATTCTGAACATGTTTTGTCATTCACAAGTACATTGTGTCAACTTAATTTAAAGTATGTAACCTGAATTAACTCGTGTAATATTTGTGTGTGGAGTGGGATGTGGGGGGTGGAGGGGGAATGACAGATTTCTGGAATGCAATGTAATGTTACTGAGACTTAAATAGATGTTATGTATATGATTGTCTGTTTAAGTGTTTGAAAATTGTTAATTATGCCCAGTGTGAACTTAGTACTTAACACATTTTGATTTTAATTAAATAAATTGGGTTTCCTTCTCCTGGGTGTCCTTTTCATGACAGCATGCTAGAATTTCATGGAGTGCAAGGGGTAACTACAAGATAACAGCAAATAAGATGCACAAAGTAACTAACCCTTGGAATAATTTACCAGGAATGCCTTTGACAGGAAACCCAAGCCACTAAGACCACAAGCAACCAAGATCAAATGATGGTGAATCTTGATAACACAGCTTCAGGGTGCCGTACAACTAGGAAAGTTCATAGAAGCCGAATGAAAGGCTAAATGCAGTTCAAATTCCACCACAGTCAACTTTTCATAATGTCTAAAAACCCCATCTACATACTTAGCCCTTCAGTTAAATGAGTAATATGGCCTAACCATTGTTTTGCCTTAAAGGGACTCTGCTCAGTGCTATTGGCATACAGCATGGAAAACAGGAATAGTTTCTGATGGCACATCCTAGGCCACCAGCCAATTCATTCCCACAAGGCTTTCATTGTGCCCCTGCTGCACTCTGACAATTCTGGGACTTGGCACCTTTTGTATTAATAGGTGGGACTTCACCAAGGTCTTCATGGATTATGTCTCTAGAAGCTTTTCTCTTCATTGCTTTCCCACCACCTAGGTCTTCGTTTCAGTCTTGGGGTCATTAGGCTGTTCCCTAGGAACTACCCTCTCTTGATTGATTTCATATTCCAAAGTGATCCCTTTCTGCCTTTCCCCATCAACACACTGTGGTACCATGCCTGATCTCTTCTGGGGATGTCATTCCTAGACAAGTATACAGGACAGGAAAGGTGTGGTGAGCTGCAGGGCATTGGTGAGGGGAGACTGGAGGACTCTTTTCATCTTGCTTTTTACCCAGAGCTTTCTGGGCAGGCTCCTGGGCCATCAGCAGCAGGGCAGTCTTCTTTCCTGAGAAACATTAGGAAGAGCTGGAATCTGGGGGATCAGGACCCTGCTCCCTGGCTTTGCCAAGGACTGGGGGAGATGATGCACTGACAGCCTTTCCTTGATCCACTTTTAGGGCTCTCAGCATTTTCCAGGATTCGGCACCACTGGCAGCTCAGTTGAAGTGTGCTGGACTTCCACGAAGGCCAAAGTAGCCCCCAGTCTTGGTCACAAACCATGGGGACAGCTTAAGAGCTGTCCCATTACTTGGTGTCTCCAGACATGAGAAGGGCTGAGAAACATTCATTTGCCAGCCAGCAAAGAAATATTTACTATGGGGGCTTTAGATTCTTAGGAGTAAAATTTCATTTGCCTCCCCAGTGTTGCTGGGTGATTGAATTTAATATTTGTTTGATTGTTTCCGAAGTTCTTTGGTTTTCCAGAATAGTCAAGAGGTTGCTAAACTCAGTCAGGAGCAATAGAGGAATTTAAAAGTCACCATCGTGTGAAAAATCAATATCCAAGTGCTGGTGTCTATTCACAAACTTCTCAAATGCCAGGGGCAAAAGCACAGTTTTTGTGTGCTTGAGTAAGGACTGGTATATTGAAAGGGCAGCAAGAGAGAAGCTGTAATCTTGTGCACAGTGGGGACACTGTGTCTTGGTGGTGCTGCTGTGGGTTCAGGGGTGAAGCCCTCTGATTTACAGGCCCCACTCTGGATTTTATCAGAACCAGGGATGATGACACGTTGGGAAATGCCTGTGCATCCCTGAACCCACATGAGCTGCTGTATAAACCTTAAACCCATTTAGCATTTGTAGGAGGTGATCCCTTTTGGTAGATCCCTCTTGAATGAAACAAAGAGACTAAGTATCCCATTAAGATGTTTTGTCTGGCCGTCTCTTGCTGCTTCTCTCTGCCATGTGAGGACACAGGAAAAGACAGAAACATAAAAAAATTTTTTAAAAGATAGTTTTGTCTGTCAACCATTATATCAGGCCTAGCTCAGGGTAGAGCAGAAGGAGCTTGAGTACCAGTGGGTAGCATGGAGTGTTGCAAAGAACCCTCAGCAGGGTTGAGAGACCAGGCCAGCCCCCATTTCCTTCAGGTCTCTCTGGCATCATCAGTAGGTCACCTGCACAAAACAGTGACACCCCAGCCCCCCACCAACCCCTGCTCACTTTTCTCTAAACCACTCCTCTCCTGCTGGCATGCTTTGTTTGTTTATTGACGGTCTCTACTACATCAGAATATTGGCTCTGGAGGGCTGGGCTTTTGTCTGTTTTATTCTCTCTAGGGCCCCCAGCACCTAGAGCAGGCCCTGAACCCTGAGGAATGGAATATATCAGTGCTTCCTGACTTTGATTCTCCAAGTGCACTTATACTCTTATTTGTGTAACAATGAATTTAAATTAACACGTTATTTTCTTTGGCCCAACTGAAGCGTAAATAAATATGTGACTTTAAAAGTAGATAACTTAAACAAATACATTCCTAACCAAAACATGTTTATATGCGTACATATAGAATCATTTTGCAAACTCTGGGCAGAACGTGTCTCACACATTGGGAAACACTGCATTATAATGAATTTCCACTGCCTCATTCTGCCTCAAACTTAGAAATATATGAAATTAGAACCAGATCATTTTAACCTGCCCACAGATACCAGTTTAGAAAAAGTCAAGCCACGATGTTCAGGTTTCAAAATGGTTTCAGAGCTCCCGTCATTTTTTCCGGAGATGGAAGGACGAAAGCACACTCACCCAGTCAGTCACTCCATGGTTCTGATGACTGTGGCTCTTGACAGAGGGTGCTAGGATAGTGGCACGACCCTCCTCCTTCTCCCTCAGCCCTGGTCAAGAGGTCATGGTGGATACAGCTCGAAGGGAGGGAAGCCACAGGAGTTCGTGAGGCTTGTGGATTGTTCAGATGCACACGAAGGGGTAGGAACAAAAAGTGAAAGCTCTGTCAGGCTAAGCTGGAGTAGCAGCAGAAAATCTCAAAAATAGGCCGGGCGTATTGGCTCATGCCTGTAATCCCAGCACTTTGGGAGGCCGAGGCGGGCCGATCACCTGAGGTCAGGAGTTTGAGACCAGCCTGGCCAACATAGTGAGACCCTGTCTCTACTAAAAATACAAAACTTAACCGAGCTTGGTGGCGCACGTCTGCAATCTCAGCTACTTGGGTCTGAGGCAGGAGAATCGCTTGAACCCGGGAGGTGGAGGTTACAGTGAGCCAAGATCGTGCCATGGCACTCAAACCTGGGTGACAGTGAGACTCTGTCTCAAAACAACAACAACAACAACAACAACAACAAACTCAAAAGCAGATGCAGAACTGTGCTGTGAATTAATGTTCATCATGAGAATTCATAAGAATGGATGTCCTTCACTACGTCTGTGAGTTATGAACTAAAATGAAAACCAATCGATTCTATAAATATTTATTGAATGTTCTGCTAGTCATGCAGTCATGGCTGAGGTGTAATGATAAATAAAACTCATAGTTTCTCCCTAGCAATTTAGAAACTAGGAAGGAAGATACATATCAAAGACAATTAGTGCAATGCAAGCGATCATGGAGACGTGTGCAAAGTGCAGCGACGTGGAGGTCTGCACTCTGCAGAGGAGGTGAGCCTTGAGAAAACATCCTTTAAGACTCAGCTCAGGTGTCACCTCTTCCAGCAACCCTTCCTTGATCCCTCCACTTCTAGGCTGGCTTAGAGTCACCTTGCAAAGCACATCTTCAGAATAGCACTTACAACATTGTGTTGTAATTTTGTTTGCTGCTTGAGGGGGGATCAGAGCTAAAGAAATAGTTTAGGATGACTCTAGGTTTCAACATTTCTTACTAATTTGAAGTAAATAAAGACGCAAAAATGCATTGAAATGAGAGTCTAGCATCTCATTTGGCCAAACGCAGAAACGCCTTGAAATGTGGACTTTGTAGAAGCCTGGCATGTCATAATTTAAAAAGACCAATGAGGCTACATTGTCCAACTTTGCATCTTATACCAGAATCTCCTTCCTAACACTGTCCTCATCTAACTTATGCTTGACCGCTCACAATTAAGAAAGACTAGTGACCCCTTGAAGAGCCCTCGCTAAATCCAAATAATCCTGCCTATTAGAAAATTATTCATATTAATCTGAAATCTGTCCTCTTGAAATTTATATATATTTTCCTAGTTACAAACCTATAGTTTCCTATATTACAAAAAGTAATATATGTTTGTTGTAAAACTGAAATAACACCAAGGTATATAAACTAATCATAGCTCACTGCCTTTCCACCTCTACTTTCCCAAGTGAGCCAATGATGGCAGTTTGTGGGGATTTTCCCACAACTTTTAAATTTTTCCAACAACAATATAAATATATGTTCATATAGAGTATCTTTCCCTTCTCTAGAAACAAAAACGTTATCATATCATTTATTCTACCCTTCAACTAGCTCTTTCCATTTAACACATCGGGAACATCCTTCCAGGTATGTAAATGTGTGTATACACATGTCTGGGTATGCATGCATGCATATGCATATGGGCAGATATAAAAATATATTTTTATATAAAAATTAAAATGTCATATTAGCTATGAATTATATATTTTGCAAATATAATGTATTTTATTTATTCGGTAGTCCCAGTTAATTTCAGCTTTGTTCATATAGCACAGGCTGTAAATGTGTGTCCTAATCTGTGCTCTTATTTTTACAGAAATGCTTTCTAGAAGCAGGATTGTGGGATCAGAACATATGCCAAATATTGCCAAAGTACTTTCATAACTATTTCATTGCTAATTTTTCCCCACATTCTTTCTTGCTAAAACTGGATATTATCAATATTTGAATATTTTTGCCGGTCTGGTGGCTGCAAATTACATCATATTGTTTTACTTTGCCTTCCCCTTAAAGCTTGTTAAATTGATCACTTTTATATGTAGATTCTATTTACATTTTTCTTTTTTGAGACATTCCCCCAAATGTCCTATGGGCCATTTATTTAATAAGTTTGAAATCTTACCTGAATCTAATTTCAAATGGTACAATTAAAGTAAAATGTAATCAAGTTTAACAGTTCAAATAATCAATAGAGAGAAACACCCCCTGGAAAGGCACATTATGCAGTCTCTCCACCGCCTTAGCATCTCTCAGGAAGAGACTGCTGTGAGGATGGCTTCTCCTTGCGTCCCCCAGCCTAGACTGGGGAGTGCTCCACACCAGCTCTTGCTGCTTTGGGGATCCAAGGGAGAGGGAGAAACCCACCATGAATGTAAGCATTTGCACATGTTGTGGGAGGTAGACGTGGAGACTGAGAATCCTGTAGGGTTAAGGCAAGCCCCTCACTTGCCTATTCAGGACCTGCTCAAAGCTTCTCCAAGCTCCCTCTTCTTCCCACTCCTGCAAAATAAGAGGGCAGATCATCCTACTGATTTGGGATGAGAAATACTTGCGCTACTTTCCCATTAATTAACTTCCATCCATTAACTCCCAGCAGCCTTTAAGGATGAGAGATGTTGCCCTGGTGTCTTCGGGAGCCCACTCTTCCCCCTCCATTAAATACCTTGGTGTATCACTGGTTTTATGTTTTTAACTTCTTAAGAAAAAATGCTTCATAAATAAAGGTACTTGGTATAAATAAATTCTTCATAAAGATGGATAAAAGTATCTAAGAGATGTGGCTATCCTCTTTAAAATTGCAAACCTTTTACCATGACATTTCACATCTCATTTTTCCCTCTCCAAAACATGTATCACATTCTAACATACTATATAAACTACTTACATATTATTTCCATTTAGTATTGTCTGCCTTCTTCTACTAGAGTTTGAATTTCATGAGGGGAGGGACTTTCATGTGTTTTGTTCACTGTTGTATGTCTAGTATCTAAACAGTGCCTTACACAAGTATGTGCTCAATAAACTTCTCTTGAATGAGTAAATGAGTGGACTCTGTGTTCAAAGATAAGGGGAAAGAACCAACAGAACCCCGTTGCCAAGGATGCTAAAAATTCCAACCGTGGCTGGTTCCCAATCTCACCCTCTATGACAGGATAGAAACTCTTGTAAGTGGTAGGTAAAATGGCTCCCAACCATGTGGTCACATATCCTTTAAACAGAACTATTTTCAAAGTGGTTGGTTCAAATGAAGCTCTAATGTTTTCTATTTTCCATTTACCCATATCATTTATGATTTAGTCCTTTTAGATTAGGCTTAGAGTGGCTTAGATGAGAAGGTACATTTGGGGGTTAGACATGGACAGCCACAAGTGTCATTAACTTTTGCATAATAAGATGACCTTTTGAGACTTTTTTTGGAACTGGTGAGAAAGCATTCTCTTCACAGAAATTATGTCCCTTTGGTACTTTTTAGTCATTTGCAAAATTTGGTAATAATTTCCTGCAAGGTACAGTGCATAGAGGATGGTTGAGTCCCAGCCTTTCATCCATATGTTGTGGTTGGGAGCCTACTCTAGGGTCCTCTAGTCACAATGATTGGTGAAGATTCAGGAATGGGCCTATGACCCAACAAGGCCCAATCAGAGTGGATTCCAGGATTTATAAATGAGTTCTGGAAAATGAGTCTTTCTCTTTTCTATGAACTATAAGCTTGGAAGAGTATTGGTTGGAATTGCTGCAGCCATCTTGCCACCATGAGGACAGAGACTGGCTGAGAATCAAGCCAACATGTTAATCACTCAGTTCTGAAAATCCACACTCTCCTCTGGGATTCTTTCTGCCTCACTTAGATGCTGCTTCTTGATCTTGCAAGTGAGTTTCTTCTCTATCAGAACACTACAGATTGGAGGACTCAGGGCTAGTTGTGGCTTCTTGTAATCTCCATGTACTCTATTGCTCTCTATACAGCTAATTCAACCCCATGGCTTTAAATACTATCAGTGTGCTAATGTCTCCAGGGTTGACCTAGTCCCTGAATTCCATGCTCACACATTCAATTATGTACTCGATATTTCCATGTAAGACATCTCAAAAACAATATGTCAAAACCGGAAAATTTGTTTCTCCTTCTAAAATCAGTTCATTCTCTAGTATTCCACAACCTGGTAATACAAAACGTAAAGATATCATGGTTAAGCACACAGACTCTGAAGCCGATAAAGCTTCACATAGAGGCTGTAATTTAACAACAAAGTGAGGTTAATCTGTCCGTCCCTCTCTTCCCTTGTCTGTACAATAGGGATGAGAATAGTACCTATCTTGTAGGGTTGTTGTGGGGTTCATGTGAGGTAATATATGTAAAGAGGTTAGAGCCATGACTGCTATATAATAAAAACTTTATACGCATAAGTTGTTATTATTATATGATAAATTGTCACCTACTCAATTGCTAGGGCCATTTTTGCAATTACAGGGATTTTTTATTTCTTCTTTTCCCTCATATCCCAAACCAAATTCATCAGCACATTCTTGCAGTTCTACCGCCCCAATATATCTCAAATCCTTCCGCTTCTCCTATCCCCATTAGTATACCCTGGCCCAGGTCACTGCCATGTCTCACCTGGACACTGGAAGAGTCCTCCTTCTAACTGGTCTCATTGTTTCCACTCATACCTTGCCCCTGAATCCAGCTTCATTGAGCTTCTAGAGAGAACTTAAGAAGTGTAAATCAAAGCATATCCCTTCCTGTTTGATGCCTTTCAATGGCTTCCCTTGCACTGAGAATAAACCTTATTATCTGGCCAAGAAAGACCTACATTAATTGCCTAGCCTTTCTCTCTGACCTTGTCTCCTGGCCTGTGTTGTCTCTTAGCTGACCTTTCTGCTTCTGAAAAGTGCAAGTTCAGCTCTGTCTTGGGCATTTGTAGATGCTAGCTCCTCTCCCTGGAGTACCCTTCCCCAGGCCTTCCCACAGTCCGTTCCTTTCATTTACGTGTCAGCTCAAGGGTCTCTTCCTTTGACATGACGTTCCCAACCCAGCTGAGGAAGGATCTCCATCCACTCCTAGTAATTCCAAATCACCTTTGTTATTTCCTTCATATTATCCTCATGCTTTGAAATTATCTTGTTTCTTTGTTGATTGCCTTGTTTATTATCTTCCTTTCTTTGACTCTACTAAAATGTAAGCTTCATGAGAAGAGAGGTCTTGTGCATATTACCTGTGACCCTACCCATCTGTTCATTTTTGCCACCTCTCATATTCTCACTCCCATCCCTAGTCAAATGAGATTCCTTCTCTGAATTCTTCTTGCTGTCATGATACCTGTTAATACTTGTAGAATGCCACTTGTCACACTGTATTGAAACCTTTGACTCCCTTGTCTGATGCTCCCACCAAATCAAAGGCTCCTCGAGAGCAGGGATTATACCTTGTTGATCTTTGTATTGCCAACATTTAAAGGACAGCTTAGAACACAATAGGGGCTCAAAAGAGTCTAGTGGACGAATTAAGCATGATTTATTACATGCAGCAGAAGTTTTGTCAAGTTTGTCAGAATGAAAAGAGGCATTATCAGTTCTTTGAGGATAAAAGTAGTAATTCTCATATTAAGAGATGTTTTGAGGATGATTCTCGCTATTAATCTGTGGCAGAAGACTGCTTTGAGGAACATGGCATATGTTTGCTTTTTCTCCATATCTCTGAATAGATGTTAGCTCTTATAGACAGCTATTTATTTCTTTTAACCACTTGTAATTTTCCACTCAACAACTTCTAAAAGAGGCAGTAGAAGTATGTTTTATTAGTTTCAGAATAGATTTTTTTTAAGAGTCTGGCTCCATTCTTGGAAAGGTTGAGTTTATAACTTATTTTTAGAAATTTCTGTTCTTAAAACATAAAATAGCTCTGTTTGTTGATGGTGCTTAATCTATTTTGTTGCTATTCTGCTTTCCCCACAACTGTGCTTTCTAAATTCTGACACGTTCCATGATCCTCAGAAATATATTGGCTGTGGCCATTTGGTTAAATGCATGGCCTAACGTGTTGTTTTCACCAGACCAATCACCAGCTGGGTAATGATACAGATTATATTATCATAGAGCAAAATGGCCTATGGGGCACTTTGGGTGCACTGTTTTCTTAACCCTTAAAATAATCCCATGAGGCAGCATGAGCATTTTCTCACTCGTTAGCCTGACATTCAGGGAGTCCTTATCTGGCCTTTTACTCTCATCAATCCTAACCTAAAATTCAGCATATAGTAGGTGTTCAACAAGAGTTTGTCAAATAAATGACTGAATAAGTTTAAAAATCCATCTCTCATTACCCTTTGACATGTATGCCTCCTTCAAGATCAGTCTATTTTTTTAAAAAGCCCCCAACACGAGACAAGCTTATTTCTGCTTTCATGTCCTTCTGTGTGCCAGATTGTCCATCTGCTATGTCTTCTCTACTCTTTTATTTCAAGATAAATTATATATTTTCTTCATGATCTCCTCTGCTCTACTAAGTCTTGCATGGCCACTGTAGCCCACAATGAATATTCCCTTTTGGTTAATTTCCCAGTGTGATTGAAGATTACCTATAAATACATGCTGAGCTTTCTCTATGTACCTGATTTTGTGGAAACTATTTACGGTTCTGCTGTTTTATTCTGATATAGCTTTCCAAGTGTTTCCTCAAATTTTACTACATTGTGTATTTTACTCATTTAGCCAACAAAGATTTATTTGTTTTACTTATTAAGTGTCAGGCTCTGTCCTAAACGTTAAACAGGTGAACATACCATTCTTGATAGGGGGACACAGAAATAAACAAAGGAGTAAACATAAAGGATGTCAGAATAACAAGAACAAACAAGCAGGAGTGGGGGGGTTTCAGGGACTGGGGAAGGGCGGGGACTGGTTTGCTCTTAAAAAAAAGGCTGATCAGAGCTGGGCACAGTGGCTCATTCCTGTAATCCCAGCACTTTGGGAGGCTGAGGTGGGTGGATCACGAGGTCAGGAGATTGAGACCATCCTGGCTAACACTGTGAAACCCTGTCTCTACTAAAAATACAAAAAAATTAGCCGGGTGTGGTGGCAGGCACCTGTAGTCCCAGCTACTTGGGAGGCTGAGGCAGGAGAATGGCGTGAATCTGGGAGGCGGAGCTTGCAGTGAGCTGAGATCACACCACTGCACTACAGCCTGGGTGATAGAGGAGACTCTGTCTCCGAAAAAAAAAAAAAAAAGGGCTGGTCAGGAAAAAGCTCACCAATGAGGTGACATTTTTGCACAGACCTGAAGGATCCTTACAATGACTAAGGAGTAGAGAGTAAAAAGATTATTGATTTTGGTTTTGTAATTTATGTGGATGTAGAAACAGGCTTGGGGATGTTAAATATTTTTAGTAGCATCACATAATTATCATGAAAGAAGTTAAAGCCATGATCTAGAAGATTTTACAATTCTCTGATTCACCTGTTGTGCCTTATTTTCTCTCAGGTAAGCTTCTTAGTTATCTGGTTACTTTTAACAAATGGCAGAAACAACTTCTTAACTATGGAAGATTATGTTCTTTTGATTTACCAAATTATTTATCCATATATGCAGAGAATATATTTTCTGAATGAAAAATTGGGCAGCAAACTCTGAAAAGTTCTAACATGCTCAGAGGGACAATGGGACCACATAATTGAAGTTGGCACCAAACCATGAATATCTGGTCATCATAATAATATAGATGCCTTGGACATAACAGCAAGCACTAACCACAAAGTAATGGTGTACTTTGCCCATAAGAAAGAAACAAATGTGTGACTGAAATCAGCTTTTCTCACTCTATTGCATGGAATATATAGTATTTCCTCAACATATTAGTTTTCCTGTTTTAAACTTACAAAAGTGTTTTCTTATTTAACAAGTTTAAGAAAATGGTGCAAACTATATTTTCTGTATGGGGAATTATAAAGCCCATCAGAATGTTACAGGTTGGAGAAGTTCCACATTAAAACAACTCTTTAACTTTGTTTAATATGAGTTTCTAGAAGATTGTTTCTTCCAAGAATACATTGGCCTTGTAGGCACTTAGTCAGATCAAATGCCTTGTTACCTAGAAAACAGTTTGGAAAACACCAGTTCACACAAATGGTTATCTTGAGATGAAGCAGAGCTAGAAAAGTGTATTATTAATGAAGAAGAAGAAAAACAACAACTACTGGATTTCTCTTCAAAGAATAAGAAAAACATTTAAGGAAGCAAAATGCTGATATGATAAATATGTTTGGAGGAGATTAGAAGAGATTTTAATAAGTATATATAGATAATAATTTTTATGTTTGCTATTTGTATTTATTGAAACAAAGTGAATGTCGTAAGTGTGAAATGCACTGAAGAGACATCTCAGATTGCTGCTTCCTGCTCACCTCATCTACTGAAAAAACATGGTGTGTCACCACAGTGACTTGCCTTTACCCACAAGTGAGGAACTCAGTTTTATTTCCTAGATAAAATGGAAGTGCCAACGATATTCACTTTTTTTCTGTTCATCTGTAACATCTTGGGAATGACCAATGACACTTTCCTACTGAGAAAGAAAACTTTTCATGGTAGTAGTAACCACAGATTTGGATGATGACTCACATTATTACATTAGTAACATCTTTTGTTCTATACTCCACACAAGGAAAAAAGTGCTGAATGCAAAACCACAACTTCAGCTGTCGGTGGAAATGATAGTTAATGGTGCTTTGCTGCTACGCTGGGGGCCAATTCTTGGTAGAGAGGATTATCTTGAATGTGGTTTCTAAATCAATAGATAAGTATGAATTGTGGCACAAATTATATAATATAATTGATTATCATACTTTTAAAATAGATTGAATCTTTTTTGTAAGAGAAATCTGGTTGTAAATTATATTAAAAATAAAATTTTATCAATAAATATATATGTAGATATATATAAGTTATAAACAACTCAGAAGGCCCCTAGATATGGAATCAATTAATGCTTTCTATAAGTTATTTCAAAGGCTAACTCTAAATTATAGTGGGAATAATTTTGGGCTTCAGAGTATGAATTTGGAAATCCTAAAGCCTATATTGGAGAGTTATGATAATCAAAATGGCCAAGACAAGTCCTAGGAGACAATAGCATTTAGTTGAGTGCCTTTAAGAAAATCTAGATTTGTCAAGTAGCTGGTCAATTTTCACAAACATAGCTGAAACAAAATATATTTCAGAATAACATAGGCTTTCTGTGACCATTTCTACACTTGTAAAGTTCAATGTCTAAAAATGTTGGGATGACGTTTTTTTCCCCTCAAGTATCACTTAAAAGAAAGCTTTTAGGCATATAATTCACTTAGATTTTTAATTTATCAATAGTTTCTAAAATAATCTTCTCTGAGAGTGTTGTCAAGGTAAATTCTAAAATGTATTGTTTTAAATTTGTCATGTAACAGGACATTTTACTTCAGAGCTCACAATTGGTGACCATAATATAAAATGTAAAAGAAAAATAAATCCTTTACTACTATTCTGTAATGTGAATTTATTAGTGTCACCACTGAAGCAGCTACAGATAATGATGCTGCCAACAGAAATTTTAGGTGGATTGTGATAAGCATTTCGAAGCAAGTTTTGCCTATTTTCCATAAGCAAATTTCCCGATTAATAAATCAATACTCCTTTAAGTGGCCCATTCTTTCCTTTTTGGATAATGATTTTGAAAGAGAGCTTTCTAAGACATATTACATAGGTTCCTCTTACAATAAGTTTATTCTACGTCTCTAAACTTCAGTTTCCTCCTCACTGAAACGAATACTTTCAATTCAGAGACTCCTAAATTCCCTCCTAGCTCTCATATTTCCTCCTGGCTATAGGCATGTTGGTGTGTGAGCATGGGTCATATTCACTTCTTCCTTTCTGTGTGTGGTTTCTCTTTCTTAGGAGCCCTTCTTCCGATGGCCTCATCTGTTGGTATTCATGCAGACTTGGGCATCCTCTTCCCCAGGTTTCCTGAAGGAGCCCAGAGCTCTTATTCCTCTGGGAAATAGGACCATCGCTCCCTCAACCTCCTGCTAACCACAGGCAGGATTGAAGAAGGGACCCGTAATTTTGTGTCCCTGGTAGGATCTTCAATGTTCACAGCCTCCCCATGACTCTCAGCTTTGAGACTACCAAGGATAATCCCGTGATGCTCTTTATGCTTGTTTAGGACGGAGGGCCCAAGAAGCCCAGGACATCCAGGTGACCCCTCCGTCCCAAGGCTTTCATTTCCGTGATGGCACTGCACTTCCTTTTCCCTCACTTCATCTTCCACCTATCTCCAGCTTCTGAAACCCTTTCAGTGTGTCCCCTGAACTCACTGTCAGTCACCAGCAAGATCCCTTATATCTTTAACATTTTCTCTGAACTTTGCTTTCTTACTGTAACTGACCAGACTGTCCCTTGGAGACCTGGTTCCTTTGCAGATTTCTCTAGATGCATCTGTTTTCTTTCCCTTTTCTTTTGCACCCTGGGCATGTAGGTGGAGGTCGTTTAAGTACCATTCTTGTGTTTCATCAAGGCACACCCCATTCTCCCTCTCTTCTTCTTGAAACTCTTTAGTGTCTTCCTGCTTTAAATATCCTATCATCAGACTACATTATGCACTAATCCCCATGGTCATCATGTACTGATCCCTCAGGTGCTCCTCCTCATTCTAGAAAGATTTTACCTATTGCTCACTGTCACACTCTCCAACACCACCTCATATCATACACTTCAATATGTGTACATGTGGTACTTCAAACACGCTGGTCTCTCCATTCCTGATCTCCCTTCCACTCAGATCTTGCCCTTTATCTTACTTTAGCCAATTCTTCCCATTGGGAGGATCCTAGAAGTTGCATTGTAATAGCAACAGCCCCCATTCCCCACATTATCTCAATGACATGACTCCTACTCTATGACTTTTCAGCTTGCCCTTTCTATAACCCACTCTAGCTGTCATTAAATTCCAATGGAATTGAAAAAAAACATTATTCCTAGCATCTTTTCACGGTTCCTCTCCACTTTATGTCTTTACTTCTCTCATTATCGAGCCTCAATTCCATGGTCTGTCATTTGTTCTTGTCTTCCTTCATCGTATTTTCCTGGAAAAACTCCAATCAATCATGGCTAAATCCAACTCTCTGCTGTCTACCCTGAGCTTTGCACTGGATGACAGTTTCTTAAGTTGTAGTGGAAATACTTTTAAATACTTTTAAATAGGATTCACATTACAAACTAAGGTTATCAAGTCCTGGCATGTGCCAATAAAGATGATTATCATCATCAACAACATCGTAGTTCACTGTATGCCTGGTAGAGCTCTAAGGGTTTCATAAACATCAACAACACTTTATTGATTAATTGATTTTTTGAGACAGGGTCTCACTCTGTTACCCAGGCTGGAGTGCAGCCTCACCATCTCAGCTCACTGCAGCCCCGACTTCCTGGGCTCAAGTGATCTTCCCACCTCAGCCCCCCAAGTAGCTGGGACTACAGGTGCAAGGCACCACACCAGGCTAATTTTTGCATTTTTTGTTGAGACAGAGTTTTGCCTTGTTGCTTAGGCTGGTCTCAAACTCCTGAGCTCAAGTGATCCACCTGCCTTGGCCTCCCAAAGTGCTAGGATTACAGGCATGAGCCACCCAACAACACTTATTCTTCACAGCAACTCTATGGGATAGGTGCTATTTTCTTCCCTACTTTTAATTGAGGAAAGTAAGATCCTAAAAAGCTAAGTAACTTGCCCATTGTCACACAATTAGTGAAGATGGAGCTAGGATTTGAACCAGAATTTTTTGTCTGGGCTTTAAATTGCTAACCCCTACTGCCTCCTGACTTAGGATTCACTCAAGAAAAAAAAAAAAAAAAAAAAAAGGGCATGAATCAAACAAAAAGAAAAGAAAAAAAAGGGCATGAATCAAACAAAAAGAAAAGAAAAAAAAGATAGGTAGATGTACTTATGTAACAACATTATGTTAAGTGAAACCGTGTAAGGAGCCAGCATGCCAAGTACTTCGAGCAGGCTCCCTGAAGGTGGTTTATTGGAGTTATCTTTATGTGTAGCCACATAAACTGACGTGGAGTTTACGCTCCACAAACTCACTGTGCAGATCCCGAGACCTCTTCCCTATTTCTCTGGCTTTGCCCTCCTTTGGTGTGGAACTTTTCTCCCCATTCTTGTCAAGAGAGATCTATGAGCACAGCATTCCCAATCTCCCTCCACCCTCTCCTTCACTTTGCCCTGGGTGGAGTGACTCTTCTGCCTGCTGTGTTTGGGAGGACAAACAGGGCACATGTACCCAGCCCCTTCCACATCTCTCTGCTTTTCCTCCTGGGAGTGACCACCTCTGGGGAGCACTGGCTTTGTCCTGCTCCCCCAGGGTCTTGGAGAGGGTGTCCATCCTGTCCAGCACCAGAAGTCGGTTAAATATTAAATTCTGAGGTTCAGTTTTAAGACCCCCATTTGCCCACAAATTAGAGCTACATTCTCTGTTATTTGCTTTATCAGAAAGAGGATAATACTTTGCTTTTCCATTTGTTTCACTCTTTGTCGTATTTTTCAATGGGCACAGAACCAAGAAGAGAAGAGAGATGTTATTTATTGGTTGTTACATTGAACTCCAAAATTCACTCACCTTTCAGCAAGAATTTAAGCATTTCCTTTTTAGACCTCCTCCTCCTCCTCGTTCTTCTTCCTCTTTTCTTCCTTTTCTTCTTCTTATAGGTAATTGCACAATGAAGGAATCCCCTATGGCCATGTTTTCTTCTGCCACATGATGTCGTTGCTGAAGAGTGTCCCTACACAGTGTAATGGGTGAGGCTGGCTCAGTCCTTATATGGCTCCTGAAGCTTGCCAAGGCAGGAGATTTTGGTTTCCTCATGACGAAGTGCCCAGTGTGCCCCAAGTTTATTTCCCAGCTTGCTGATTTTTTTTTTTTTTTAAGACAGGGTCTCATTGTGTTGCCCAGGCTGGATTTGAACTCCTGGGCCTTCATATTCCTCCCACCTCAGCCTCCCAGGGAGCTGAGACTACAGGTATGCACCACCATGCCTGGCCAACTTTGCTGTTCTTAACGCTCAGCTTGTTCAGTCTTCACACCTGGCCACCTCTCAGATCCTCTTGGCCCCAGGAACACTTCTTCAGAACTGGTTCCAGCATCTGGCCCCTCGTGCACCCAACCATTTTCCTTTGTCTTGAGATCCATCCCTTTTAAGTAACCAAAATACAAGGGGACTGCTTATTCCTCTTATTTTGTTCTTGCTAGGTAATGGTGATATTTGCCCTATGTAAACTCTCTCTGGCTGCTCATCTGCAAAATAGAAATAAAAATAGCACCTATTTCATAGAATTGTCAGAGGGTTAAATGAGTTAATGCATGTAACTGTCATATAGTAAGCATTCATTAAATAATTTGACAATAATTGTTATTATAATATCTTGTTAGAGGAGAAGCAACGTCCTCACTCTAAAATATAATTGACAGAGAAACCAGCTACGTGTACATAAAGGGTGGTTGTAGTGGATTGAATAGGGTCCTCCCCAAATTCATTAGGGTAAACCCTAATCCAATGACAGATGTCCTTATAAGAAGAGGGAAATTTGGCACAGATACACATAAATGGAAGGAAGTTGGGCATGTGAAGATGGAAGCAGAGAGTGGAGTTGTGCTGCCACAAGCCAAGGAGTGCCAAGAATAGGCAGAAGCCAGAACTGGTAAGGAAGCATTCTTCCCTAGAAGGAAGCATGGGAGCATGGTGCTACCGACACCTTGGTTTCAGGCTTCTAGCCTCCAGAACTGAGAGAGAACAAATTTCTGTTGTTTTAAGCTGCCCGGTTTATGGTGATTTGTTGTGACAGCTATAGGAGAATAATGCAGTGGGAATGACAAAGTATTAGAAATTAATATTTACTAAATCAGCCCTGGAATCTCACCTATAAATATATTACCCTAATACCACTTCCATTATTAGTTTGGAAAAATAACATAAAGGTCATGTTTTAAATCCTTTTGCTTTAAGCCAAGTATAATAAAGATCATCTTTCTAAATCACTCCTGCCTCCAGCATGGCTTCCAGAAAATTAAGACCTTCAGGAAATTACTTATGGTATAAGCAAGCGAGATGGTCAAAAATAAAGATGTATTATTCCCATTCATCTAGACTGGACCATGTAGGTTTATCATCTGTGATAAGTCCACACCCCAAAATGAATAAGCCGCTTGGGTTCTGTGTGCTTTGATCCTTTTACTGATGACCCCAAAAGAGTTTCCTTTGAGAGAAAGGAAGATACCAGATGGGGAAACATCCAGGGCATGGAATGCACCACAAGTGGACTAACTCAGCCAAAAGAAACAGGAGGAAATGGCGTGCTTCAAAGGTGGGTGAAAAGTGTAAGGAGAAGCAACAGCCAAGAGTGAGTGAATGGGCTAGAGATTTACCAGTGGGCGGGATCCCGAGAGGGCAGGGACTAGAAATTGGAGGGGCCAGAGGTTTATGGAAGGCATGTTGATAGCACTGGTAAAATCATATTATATGTGCTTTATTTTTTATTTTTTGAGCACTTTAAGGTTTATAGAAAATTTGAACAGGGTAGTGTTCTCATATCCCCCTCCCTATTTTCCCCTGTTACTAGCATCTTGGATTAGTGTAACATTTGTTACACTTGATGAGACAATTTTGATATGTTATTAACTAAAGTTCATCGTTTACATAAGGGTTCATTCTTTGTGTTATACATTCTATGGGTTTTGATACATGTATCCACTATTACAGTATCATACAGAATAGAATTTGTCCTAAAAATCACCTGTGGTCCACCCATTCATCCCTCTCTCCTTTCCCATGAGCTCCATGACAACTACTGATATAATTAATTAATTATAGAGACAATATCTCATTCTGTTGCCAAGACTGGAGTTCAGGCGTGCGATCGATCATGGCTCACTGCAGTCTCCACCTCCTGGGCTCAGGCGATCCTGAGTAGCCTTCCAGATTGGCTTGTTTCACTTTGTAATATGCATTTAATTTTCTTCCATGTCTTTTTGTGGCTTGATAGCTCATTTCTTTTTTATCACAACATAACATTCCATTGTCTGGATGTATCAGAATTTACTTATTCCCTTACCTATTGAAGGACTTCTTTGTTCCTTCCAAGTTTTGGCAACTATGAATAAAACTGCTATAAATAAAACATTCCTGTGCAGGTTTTTGTGTGGTCATAAGTTTTCAACATATTTGTTTAGATACCAAGGAGTGTGATAGCTGCATTGTATGGCAAAACTATGTTTAGTTTTGTAAGAAACTAACAAATTGGCTTCCATAGTGGCTGTACCATTTTGCATTCCCATCAGCAATGAATGAGAATTCCTGTTGCTCAACATCCTGGCCAGCATTTGATGTTGTCAATGTTCTGGATTTTTGCCATTCTAATAAGTATCTAGCGGTTGTCTTGTTGTTTTAATTTGTGATTCCCTAATGATATATGATTTTGAGCATCTTTTTATGTGCTTATCTGTGATCTGTGTATCTTCTTTGGTGACGTGTGTGTTCAGATCTTCTGCCCATTTTAAAATCAAGTTGTTTATTTTCTTATTGTTGAACTTTATGTGTTTACGGTATATTTTGGATACCAGTTGTTCATCGAATATATGTTTTGCAGATATTTTCTTTCAGTTTGTGGCTTGTCTTTTCATTTTGTTAAAAATCTCTTTTTATTTTTATTTTTTATCTTTTTTTATTTTTTGAGACGGAGTCTCTCTCTGTTGCCCAGGCTGGAGTGCAGTGGCGCGATCTCCGCTCACTGCAAACTCCGCCTCCCACGTTCATGCCATTCTCCTGCCTCAGCCTCCCGAGTAGCTGGGACTACAGGCGCCCGCCACCACGCCTGGTAGAGATGGGGTTTCACTGTGCCAGCCAGGATGGTCTTTATCTCCTGACCTCAGCCGCCCACCTCGGCCTCCCAAAAAATCTCATATTTTTTTTCATTAATCATTTATAATAAATTGCATCTGTTATGTGCTAGGCTCTGTGCTAAATGTTGGGATTACAAAGATGAGTAAAACAAAATTTCTTGTCCTGGAAAACTTCCTAGCTTAAAGCATATAAACAAAATTATAAGATAATATGATCAGTACAGTGACAGAGCTATATATAATATATTAAGGGAACACAGGGGATGAGAACTGCATTCAACCTGAGTGAATCATCAAAAGCTTCCTGAGGCTGGGCGCGGTGGCTCACGCCTGTAATCCCAGCACGTTGGGAGGCGAGGCAGGCGGATCACTTGAGGTCAGGAGTTCAAGAACAGTCTGGCCAATATGGTGAAACCCCATCTCTACTAAAAATACAAAAATTAGCCCTATGTGATGGTGCATGCCTGTAATCCCAGCTACTCAGGAGGCTAAGGCAGGAGAATTGCTTGAACCCGAGAGGCAGAGATTGCAGTGAGCCAAGATTGTGCCATTGCACACCACTGCACTCCAGCCTGGGCGACAGAGCAAGACTCCATCTTAAAAAAAAAAAAAGCCTCCTGGAACAAGTGATGTCCAACCTGAGTCTTAAAAAGTAGAAGTTATCAGGTCCATCAGCTGACAGTGGGTTCAGCAAGAGCTTGGTGCTGAAATCCAGATGGCAATGCTGGAGTTTAAAATGGGAGTCAGAGAATGCTGACATGAGGATGGGTGGGTAGGCAGAAGCACAGGGATGGTCTCCTGCAACAAGTTAAATAACTTTCAGATATGAGTGACTCTTATTTGAGGGAAGGCCTTCCCTAATCAGATTTTCCTTTTGGAAAGAATCCCTGAAAAAATGATGCTCAGGGGGCTATAAGCAGAGATCAAGAGCTAGTTAGGCAGCTATCAGGGTTCAGGAAAGATAATAAGGCTGTTTCCAAGGACGGACAGAAAGCTAAAAATATTAGACAGATTAGGAGATAAAATTGGCAGAACTGAGGAGACTGAGCTGATGTGGGAGAGGTTTCCTCTCAGGGTACTGGATAGAGTTGATGTCACCACCATGGAGAGAAAACACAAGAGGAGGATGCTTAGGGTGGCTAGATTATGTTTAGGGTGACTAAGACAGCTGCTTTGAGAGCCACCTCACACCTGGCAGCCTTGTTTGTTGGCTTTTTCAGGTGTAACAGTCAAGGTTTGACCAGGAAAACAGAAGCTGCTTTAGGTATTTTATTCCACTTGCAAGGTTGCGTGAGGTTTTAATGTAGGGATTTAGAGCTCAAGAGCTTGATTCAACCATTGTAGGGAGCTGTGGTCAGGCAAGCCACCACCAACAGTGTCAGTCTACAGCACTGAGCTGTGTGCAGGGCTCCTATGCACCCTGTCAGTCTGTAGCACTGAGGTGGAAAATTATCAAAAGCTTGCCAGGAAGCTGTTTTGAACCTCACATCTGTTCATGCTCCCGCCTCTAGAGAATAATGATCTCACTTTCTAAATCTCTTGCAATTGCCTAACTCTAACCAGGAAATATACAAGGAAGAAGATTCTGGGAAATGTAGTTTCTGGTTTCACACATCACAGGGAAGATCTTAAAATGGCTTGTGGGTTCTTTAAGGCTGAGATAAATCAATCAGCTCCTACTGGAAATTCTAATTTATGATTCAGATAGTTGAAACCATAGGACAAGTAAAAACTCCAGAGCTGTGAGAGGAGAAGCAGAGGAAGATGCAGGAGGAGAAAGAATGAGGCAAATGTGCACAGAAAGTGGAGATGATCAACTATGTAGCACACAACCAGAGAGAGATAGGGAAAGGTCTTGAACCATGGCTGAACTTCCTGCTCTGGATTCTCTGAGCAAAACCTGGGTTCTTAAATAATTTTTTTTCTTAAGATAGCTTAAGCTGATTTGTAATTCTTCTAAACAAAGGAGTCTTAAGCAAGATAACACCTGCTCTAGGCCGTCTACACCGCAGTGGGCTGGGTGGATCAGAGGTTCTGGAGAGAGGTCTGTCCTAGAGGTAGAGATGGACAGGCTGTCAGCATACAGAAGTAGTAAAACTGTGAGAATGGGCCGGGTGCGGTGGCTCACGCCTGTAATCCCAGCACTTTGGGAGGCCAAGGTGGGCGGATCACGAGGTCAGGAGATCGAGACCATCCCGGCTAACACGGTGAAACCCCGTCTCCACTAAAAATACAAAAAATTAGCCGGGCGCGGTGGCGGGCGCCTGTAGTCCCAGCTACTCGGGAGGCTGAGGCAGGAAAATGGCATGAACCCGGGAGGCGGAGCTTGCAGTGAGCCGAGATCGCGCCACTGCACTCCAGCCTGGGCGACAGAGTGAGACTCCGTCTCAAAAACAAACAAACAAAAAAAAAAAAAACCAAAAAACAAAACTCTGAGAATGGAGAAACTTGGACAATTTTTTACTTTACTGAAAGATGCATGATAATGTGGATATTAAAGTAGTTACAAATGGAACTTTACAATATGTTAGGGCTGATGAGAAAAAAAAGACAATTAGTGTTCGACAAACAAATAAAACTGGAGTGTGAAATGAAGTTGGAAGGATAAGATGGACAAATATATAGACAATTATGTCTTATTTGATAACGGTTATAGAAGGGTATATTTACCTTCAGGAGTGCTTTTCAACTCTTTGAGTTTTGGCATGTTAGTTGGGTATCAATGAAAAAACTCTAATTTTGAGCTTCTTTTTCAGTATGACTAATAATAAGCTCAGTTTTTGTTTGTTTGACTCTGAGAATTGCTATACATTTTTATTTACTGGGTTATATTAAATTTTAGCAGGTGCATTTAAATGATAATAAAGCTTTCATCAAAGCAATATTTTCATTTTATTTTTATTTTAGGACAAAGTTACATTCCTATCTTTAAAAACAGAAATTTCAAAGCTCTAATGACATGCTTCATTTGTACATGAATGATGACATATGATCCTGATGGAGTGTGTCTAAATTTTAAATAACCACTTTTTGTGAGGTAATTTGTAAATTACAACTATGTGATGGGCCCTGTTATTTGTCCATCCAGTACCTTTCCTTCCTCTATAGAAGCTGGCTTATATGGTACACATGATTTGTGAGGGGGCGTGTTGCCATATTTTTTCTGACTCTTTGGGTGGGAATTCATTTGAACTGTTGGAGCCCCACAGTTGGATTTTCCTGGATGAGTACAGAAGCCTCCTAAATTGGCCTCTCAGTTTCTGCCCTTGTCCCATTAGAGCCAAATTTCCATTTGCTGACCACAGTGATCCCATTAAAATATATCTCAGATCATGTCACTCTCTTGTTCAAAACCCAGTAGAGAGTACCCCATTTCCTCTAGAATAAAACCCAAAATGCTTTCTGGGGGCATGATCTGGCCCCTGGTTATCTTTCCAACCCCACTGCCTGCTCCTCAGGTCCAGACACATGACCCCTGCTATGACTCAGCCCTCGCTGAAGGGGCGTCTGTCTTGACTTTTTCCATTTGGCTCTTCTCTGCCTGGGACATGGTTCCCAGTCGTGTCCATGACTCCCTCACCACCTTCAGTCAGGTCTCTGCTCAAATGTTCTTTCCTCAGAAAAGTCTTCCCCAACCCCCCTATCTAAAATAGCACTATTCCATTCTCCTGCTTTCCTTTTTCAAATCATAATCACAACCTGACATTGTATTACACAATTACATGTTTGTTTATGTTAATCTTCTCCACTACAATGTAAGGCCCATGGGGACAGGAGTTTTGTCCCTTTTTTGTTAGTTCTTGCTGTTTCTTCAGTGCCTAGAAGAATGTCTTGCACATCAACAAGTATTTTTTAATAGGCTTTATTTTTTTTGAGCACTTTTAGGTTCACAGCAAAATTAAAAGGAGGGTACAGAGATTTTCCGTATGCCCTCTGTCCCCTACACATATACAGCCTCTCCCCATAATCAACATCTCCCATGAGAGAGGTACGCTCGTTACCACTGATGAACCTACAATGGCATCATCATCATCCAAAGTCCATGGTTTGCACTCTCAGTGTTGAAACTTCTATGGGTTTGAACAAAGGCAGAATGTGTATCTCTCATTCTGAGTCCCACACAAAGTGTTTGCATGTCCTAAGAATGCTCTGTGTTCACCTTTTCATTCCTCTTGCCAACCTCTGGCAATCACTGATCTTTCTTTTTCAGACTGTCATATGGTTGAATCATGCAGTGTGTAGTCTCTTCAGACTGGTTTCTCTCACTTAGTGATATGTATTGAAGGTTCCTCCATGTCTTTTTATTGCTTGACAGCTCACTTCTTTTTAGGCTGAATAACATTCCACTGTATGGATACACCACAGTTATGAAACCATTCATCTGCTGAAGGATATCATGGTTACTTCCAAGTTTTTGTAACTATGAATAAAACTACTATAAACATCTGTGTGCAGATTTTTGTGTGGACATAAGACTTCAACTCCTTTGGGTAAATACAAAGGAATGTTGTGATTGGTGGCTGGTATAGTGAGAGTAAGGTTAGTTTTATAAGAAACTGCAAAACTGTCTTCCAAAGTGGCTGTACCTTCAGTCAGAGTTCCTGATGCTCCACGTCTCAGCCAGCATTTGGTGTTGTCAGTGTTCCAGATTTTTGCCATTTCATAATGGGTGTGTGGGTATCTTGTTGTTTTAATTTGCATTTCCCTGATGATATAAATATGTAGCTCAGCAAGTATTTGATGAATTAGTGCAGTGTTTCAATTAAATGCCTTAATGGCTAACTTACCTTCCAGCTGGTGAATGCTGCTCTGTGGGAGGCAGGATTGACATTGTCTCACAAAGAGAAGCAGAAGTGACAGCTAGAGAGACAAATCCTGTCAACACTTGAGTACCTGTCTCTGAGATCCTTTCTTTGATCAAAATAGTGTGACTGGAATTTTCGTCACTTGTCACCACAAAAGTCCTGGCAAATGCAACTTGTTGGTATACTGACACTAATGCCGAAAAATAAAGGATGTAATAAAAACTGAAAAAAAATATGAGGGAATAATTAATAACTTCTCATAGCAGATACTACCTGCCTTGCCAACATCCTCTCAGCAGCCTCCCTCTCTCTTCTTACCCTCTGCCTGTGACTGTAACAGTTCACTATTCTTGGCCTAAGGGCTTCTTTCTATTTTCACATGAGGAAGACTGGAAGAGCTAGGGGTTTAATGCCCTGGGAGCAGTGCTCAGACAGTGCTAAAGATAGTCGCAGGATAGATACCCCAACTTCTTCGTCCCTTGGGCAGGATAACTTTGGGGTATGGGCTACACCATCACCCAGAGGTCTATAGTGGGCTGAGTCTCAGTTGACTACAGTAGCTCCCTTTGGGAACCACCCTGAACTGACTTCCTTCCCTTCCCTGAATCTCTTTGCCTCTTTTCTACTGGTGCTTCCTAGAATCACCACCAAAAAAAAAAAAAAAAAAAAAAAATCCTTGTCTCAAGCTCTGTTTCTGAGGTAACCCAACCTCAGTTTCTATATGTAAAATATTTCAATTTAACCTGAACAAATACGTTAAACATGAAGAAATGTACAAATACAACTTCTAAATCAGGTTACAAGGGAAAAAAACCCATAAAATGGAAATAAAAATGATGAGCACACATTGTGCTTGCTATATGCCAAGTATTATTCCAAGAGCTGCACATATAACTCATTTGAATCCCACAAAAAACCTGTGAAGTAGAGTCCAGAGACTTTAAGGAGCTTGCCTAGATTCACACAGTTTACACAGCTGGTAAAAGATGGAGCCTGGACTCAAACTCAGTCTTGCTCCTTTGTCTGTGCTGTTTGTTAACCATGATACTATCATAGAGATGTTTTAAAAAGGTGATTTATTAGTAATGACATGATATCATGAAAGTATTATGCCCAGTTATGTTGTTTATATGAATAGTGCAGAAAACGAATAACATTTGTTGTCATTATAATCTCAAAGAAGACAGGATCCTCATATAAACAGGAGCAGTTATGAGATAAACACATTTTTAAAAAATCCCTTTAAATGGATGTCAGTTCATGAAAGTGATTTGTCATTAATGTCCAACAGTGAATGACTATGAACAGCAGCTTTTGAGATTGGCAGTAACACAGCTTTTAGGAAAACAGAGGGCAGGCATAGTTTAAAGCTAACATCAGCATGTGTAATGAGGTATCATCCTATTCCCTATGTGGCTTGGGCACTAACTTGCAGCTGAAGAATAGAGATCTGTTTGGGCTTGCAGCCCTGGCTAAATGGCCCTGCTGGTTCCACCCCCCAGGTCTGATGGTCAAGAATTATTGGATACTTCATGTAAAGCACTCAGCCAGGCACTTTGAGATAGATGAAGAAGACTAAGAGGCAGTGTATACTCTCTAGGACCTTAAAACCTAGTGAGGAAGAAAAGCACATGAGGATAACTTGGACTTTTTTTCTTCTATGAGAAAAACATCTGGTAAGGTTATTCAGACCACTCAGCTTCATATGGATTTATAGATGTTGGTGCAATTTTTACTCCTTGGCTTCAGCTATTGAAGCTGTGGCAGCAGGTGTGATTACCTCAGAAGAGCGAAGGTGCAAAACAAACTCTTGAGGTCTTGGGAGCTCTGCAGGTGGTTTCCTTGCAGTTCTTCAAATAAAAGGAAGTCTAAGAGCTTCCTGACTCTGTGATAGAGAATGCTACCATGCAAGGCCATCACTTGAAGCCTTTGCTCTTTGCAGAGGCAGAAGCGTCCCTGAGTGCATTGAGACGCTGGGCTGAAGAGAGGAATGACATCAGCACCAGGTGGGGGAGAAGAGCGATTTCCTTTTTTCTCAGGGTGACCCACAGGAAGGACATGGGAAGTTAGGTCAGAATTGGCTTGACACCTCTGTCCTGGGAAATCCTATCAGGTGACTAAGAAGAAAACAACCCACCAAGTTACTGCTCTTTGCCGAGAGATGGAAGGCACCTTGGGGGAAACCCCTGACCACAGGCCAATAGAACAGAATGTTGTTAGTCTTGCTGAAAAAGCCAACCAGAAAAATACTTCTTCAAATTCACCTGGGGTGACAAGAAATATTTCCCATTCTTGGGTTCTTTCACTTTCCTAATGGAAGCATAGATTGAACACTTTGTGAAATGTCATTTAGATTTTCCCTCTTGTGATTGGCTTTATTTTTCTTTTTAGGAAAAAAAAGACAGAGTGCAGGGCATACTTTTTTTGTGGTTGATAGGATTCCTAATGCAACCATAAATATGACCAGCATATAAGTCATGATCTATGATTCTAATTAGCAAATGATGTTTCTAATTTTCAAATAGGACAAGTTATATATCATTAAGTTTTGGGATGCCTAATCTTTTTTATTCCATCAATTTTTATTTTAAGTTCTGGGGTACACGCACAGGATGTACAGGTTTGTTACATAGGTAAATGTGTGCTATGCTGATTTGCTGCACAGATCAACCCATCACCTAGATATTAAGCCCAGCATCCATTTGCTATTCTTCCTGATGCTCTTCCTCACCCCACTTCCCCAACAGGCCTCAGTGCGTATTGTTCCCCCCATGTGTCCATGTGATCTCATCGTTCAGCTTCCACTTGTGAGTGAGAACATGTGGTGTTTGGTTTTCTGCTCCTGTGTTAGTTTGCTGAGGATAACAGCTTACAGTTCCATCCATGTTCTTGCAAAGGACATGATCTCATTCCTTTTTATGGCTGCATAGTATTCCATGGTGTATATTTATACCACATTTTCTTTATCCAGTCTATCATTGATGGGCATGTGGGTTGATTCCATGTCTTTGTTATTTTGAATAGTGCTACAATGAACATATGTGTGCATGTGTTTTTATAATAGAACGATTTATATTCCTTTGGGTATACACCCAATAATGGGATTGCTGGTTCAAATGGTATTTCTGTTTCTAAATCTTTGAGGAATTGCTACACTGTCTTCCACAATGGTTGAACTAATTTACATTCCCACTAACCATCTAAAAGCATTCCTTTTTCTCTGCAACCTCACCAGCATCATTTTTTCTTGACTTTTTAATAATCACCATTCTGACCGGTATGAGATGGTATCTGATTATTATTTTGATTTACGTTTCTCTAATGACCAGTAATGTTGAGCTTTTTTCATGTTTGTTGGCTGCATGCATGTCTTCTTTTGAGAAGTGTCTGTTCATATCCTTTGCCTACTTTTTAATGGGGTTGAGTTTTTTTTTAATGTAAATTTGTTTAACTTCTTTGTAGACTCTGGATATCAGACCTTTATCAGATGGCTAGATTGCAAAAATTTTCTCTCATTCTATAGGATGTCTGTTCACTCTGATGATAGTTTCTTTTGCTGTGCAGAAGCTCTTTATTTTAATTAGATCCCATTTGTCAATTTTTGCTTATGTTGCAATTGCTTTTGGTGTTTTTGTCATAAAATCTTTGTCCATGCCTATCTTCTGAATGGCATTGCCTGGATTTTCTTCTAGGGTTTTTATAGTTTTGGGTTTCACATTTAAGTCTTTTATCCATCTTGAGTTAATTTTTGTATAAGGTTTAAGGAAGGGTCCAGTTTCAATTTTCTGCATATGGCTAGCCTATTCTCCCAGCACCATTTGTTAAATAGGGAATATGTTCCCCCTTGCTTGTTCTTGTCAGATGAGATGGTTGGGGATGCCAAATCTTAATTAAAGAAACTGACACATGTTTAGAGTTGCCTGAAGTTAAAAAAAAAAAAATTCTGTGCTGCAATCTAAAAGAAGCTACCCTCTTTGAAGAAGAAAAGAGATAAGAACTTTAGCTTTCTTACTTAGCTTTATGATACCCATTGCCTTTCTAAGTTAAAAGATTAGGAAAAAACCTTTAAATGCCAGTTACCACAAATTCTTTTGGAATTAGGGAAATGATAGCTAAAATTATAGCTAAAATAATCATGCAAGCAAATAAATTAAAACAAAAAAGAAAAAAAAAACATCAGAATGCAAAAAACAAAACAAAACAAAACAAAAAACCCAAATTAAAGTTTGATAAATAGCAAATAAACAGTGGCTTTATAGGTTTTTCAAATTTAAAAAGTCTTAAGAAGGCAATCCCAACAAGGAAGTATTATAAACATGAAAGGAATAGGTTTTTGGGCAATGTAAGTCTGAGTAGGCAGTGACGGTGTTTGCTCTAAAGCCATTAAAGTAAATTTAAGAATTTACTTTTTTTTTTTTTTTTGAGACAGAGTCTCACATTATTGCCTGGGCTGGAGTGCAGTGCCGTGATCTCGGCTCACTGCAACCTCTGCCTCCTGGGTTCAAGTGAATCTCTTGCCTCATTCTCCTGAGTAGTTGGGATTACGGGTGCCTGCCACCATGTCCAGCTAATTTTTTGTACTTTTAGTAGAGACGGGGTTTCACTATGTTGGCCAGGCTGGTCTCGGACTCCTGACCTCGTGATTCGCCTGCCTTGGCCTCCCAAAGTGCTGGGATTACAGGCGTGAGCCACTGCGCCCAGCCAAGAATTTACTTTATATGTAATACATGTATATATTTTAGAGACAGAGTTGCTTAGGCTGTTGCCCAGGCTGGAGCACAATGACGTGATCACAGCTCAGTGCAGCCTTGAATTTTTGGGCTCAAGCGATCCTCCCACCTTGGTCTCTTGAGTAGTTGGGACTACAGGCACAACACACCATGACCAGCTAATTAAAAAAAATATTTTTTTGATACAAGGTCTCAATATGTTGCCTAGGTTGGTTTTGAATTCCAGGCTTCAAAAGATCTTCCTGCCTCGGCCTTCTGAGGCACTGGGATTACAGGCATGAGCCACTGTGCCCAGCCAAAAATTTATTTTAAAATATGAAATATACATTTTTCTTTTTCTTTTAAAGACAAGGTCTCTGTCATCCAAGCTGGAGTGCAGTGGTCTGACCATAGTACACTGCAGCCTTTAACTCCTGGCCTCAAGTGATCCTCCTGCCTCAGCCTCCCAAACAGCTGGGATTACAGGCCATATTTCTTATTTACATAAAAGCTGTAGTCAAGATGCGAGGTTTCAGTAGCTATATTAAAATGTAAAATGGCTTAAACCTAATAGAAGTTTACTTTTTGCTCATGTAAAGTCAAAAATAGATGTAACAGAACAGGAGCTATCTCTTCTCTAAGCAGGACCAGGATCCTTTCATCCTGTGGCTCCACCATCTTCACCATCTTCAATACTTGGACTGTGAGGTCACTGTGCATGTTCGTATCAAGTTGGTCAACAGAGAAGAAACATGGAAGATGGCCCATGGAGGATGGCACACATCACTTCCACTCACATTCCATGGGCTAGAACTCACAAATAAATTTGATGAACAGCAAGCCAGCCTCTGTTCCAAAAGTCTTCCTAGACAGAATGTACATAAGCTGATTTAGTATCTGCACAGTCTCTGCAGTGATGCCTCTCTTTGTTGCTGCTTATTAAAGTGTTAACAGGATCAAGGATTGACCCAGAAATGGAATATTAAAAAGAAAGTTATGCTATAAATTCCACTGAGGGTTTTGTCATTTCAAGAGTGCTTCTGAATGTCCCTGTTGAGGTCATTTTTTTCTCTGTTTTGCCAAAAAAAATCTGCCCTCATTTTAATGACAATCTAGTTTTTTTGTTTTGTTTTGTTCTTTTTTTTTTCTTTTTTGAATCTCATTACCTTCAATATGTTTGGTCAGGTTGGATTGGTAAATCTGGCACATGGGGTTGCCTGTACCTCATCATGAAATCCAAAGGATACCTAGAGGGTCCTTCTACCAGTTTTTTTTTACTCAGCACTGTAGGATTAATGCCAGCAGGCAGTCAACTCATCCGTGTTCATTAGACTCACTTTCTAGGGTTTGATTCTGGAGCAGAGTGGTACAAAGATAAGAACAAAAGCATTGGAATTTACCAATTTGTTCCTGCATGGTGCTCTGCAGAAGGGCTGAGTAGTTTCTGCGGCAGAGACCTTCTGGGATTGCCTGGTAGATTGTCTGTATTGAACATGGTTCCTCAGCTATGTCTTCCATCCATGAGCTCCTCCATATGCCTTCATTAAATGTTACCTTTCAGCTAAAATTAGTCAGATTTGTTTTTTCATATATGTGCACAAATAATTTTAATGATATAATATTAGGCACGTTAAGCTTTCAGGAGCAAATTAGAGAGCAGTAGCTAGGCTGGTTGCAGCTGAGTGGTTAAGAGCATCAACAGTGAACTTAGCCACACCCAGCTTTATCACTTACTAGGCCAGTGACTTTGGATAAGTTGCTTATTTTCTGAGACTCATTTTTCTCCTCTATAAAACAAAAATAAATTTGTCTTCTTTGGATGGTTGTCATAATTAAATGAGATGGTGCATATAAAGCACTGTGGCAGCTGTTAATTACTATGAGGCACCATTATTTTTGCTGATAGAAATCTTTAGCTGCACACACACTTATTCCTAAGCTCCGTTTTACTGGAGCCAAATCCAGATTTATTAAAATTTTTTTTGACTTTTGCAGTCTTTACACTAAGGTTAGGGTCTTCAGTTTAGATATTGCTTGACTAATAATGGCCTTTCCTAATTTGGGAAATTATAACATATAGGTTCTGCAAAACCTAAGACTAAAAATAACAAGGCCTATGGAGACAACTATAGTTGGGACATTCCATTCAATACTTCTCAAACTTTATACTCAGAGCATTAACAAAAGCAACAAAAGTCCTAACCAAAACCAGGCATTTAAAAATCTCTTGGGAATTTCCGCCAGTCATCATAGTGAATCCATTCTTTGCAGCCTGGTAATTTGGACTGCTGCTTCCTCTTTTGAGATGTAGGGCCTGAGGACATGTGTTTCTGGTAGAGAACATTTTGATTCCGATTAAAAATTCCACCTGAGGTACAGCCATTTTCATTAATCCATTGATTTTATACAGGAGGAAAAGTTCCTTCATCTGCACTTGCTGCTTCCCAGATAGTGGAAATTTAGCAATTCTTGAATCCACTAAACCAATTACTACTGGTATTAAAGTAAAACACTTCTATAACTTTTGACTTTTTAAAAAGGTCTTCAAATATTGCTAAGGCTTTTTCCTAAATGTGAGAAGACATATGTTTGGTTGTCCTTTTTTTTTTTTTTTTTTTTTTTTTTTTTTGAGATGGAGTTTTGCTCTTGTTGCCCAGGCTGGAGTACAATGATGCGACCTTGGCTCACTGCAACCTCCGCCTCCTGGGTTCAAGTGATTCTCCTGCCTCAGCCTCCCAAGTGGCTGGGATTACAGGCATGCACCACCAGGCCTGGCTAATTTTGTATTTTTTGTGGAGATGGGGTTTCATCATGTTGGTCAGGCTGGTCTCAAACTCCTGACCTCAGGTGATCCACCCGCTTCGGCCTCCCAAATTGCTGGGATTACAGGCGTGAGCCACCATTTAAGCCTTGGTTGTCTTAAAACATTAACATGCTGGGAAAAATCTAGTATAAACCAAAAATAATTCCACATTTTATCAACATCATTTTCTTATTTGCCAATTGAGCATGAGGTAATCATAAAAAAGTTATAGCAGAACAAACAGTTTAAAAGGGAAAAAATAAAGGAATATTATGCAGTACAGGATTAACTTCATCCGAAGAGAGGTTTGGTCTTTGTCTCCAACACTGGGGATGTAACCTCTATGCCCTTGGAATGTCCTGCCTGATAAGAGTGTCTTTGGTTTCCTAGAGGCCTTAAGCCCTGCGACATAATCTATGCTAACAATGTGATCTATGGTGGGAGCCTTGGGCCACAAAGTATCAAATTGACCTCTGAAAGGGCTAGAGACCAAAGTCAATCATACAGGTGTCAATCTTGTCTATGTGACCAAGCTCAATAAAGTCTCCGGACAGCAAGACTCAAGTAAGCTCCCCTAGTCTGCAGTACTCTGTGTATATTGTCACACATCATGGCTGGGAAAAGTTAGCACTGTCCACTTCTCTACTGGTAGAGAATGACTGGAAGCTCTAAGCATGGAGTGCTCCTGAGCCCTGCCCTATGGACCTCTTTCCTCTGCTGATTTTAATCTGTATTCTTTTGCTGTAATAAACCATAATCATGAGTATAATGGTTTTTCTTAGTTCTATGAGTCCTTCTAGTGAATTATTGAACCTGGGGCTGGTTCCAAACTTTCAGCTGGTGTCAGAAATGAAGGTGGCTTTGGGGACTCCCAGATGTTCCAAATACCACAAGGCTTATAACAAAAAGCCAGTAACTCTGATTCATGCAGTTCCATCTCTAAAACATACTTCTCTGAGGCTATCACTTTCAATTCCTTTAGCTTCATTTCTTAGCTCAACTTCTACTTACCCAGTAAAACTACCTATTTCTTACATTGAATTTTTCCCATTTCAGGTAATATGACTATGACTTACTCTACCCTATACACATATACACTTAGCCCCTTTGTCCTCTGTCTTCCCATTATAGCTATATTACACTTTAGGTGGTAAAATGGACATGACTATGATTAGGTAATTCTTGTTCATGACATTTGTGGTACAATATTACATTTTTTTCGTGCACAATATTTGCTTTTCCTGAAGTTAATAATTGGCTTTGTTTGGTTGGTTTTCTTAGTTTTCCACATACTCATCATTAATTTACCTTCCCCTACCCCAGTCTCTGTCAGGGGTGAAATTTCTTCGTAATGTTCATATTAATTCCATTTCTTTTCTTGGAGACATTTCTCCTGGGCTTCCCAGTCCTTTAGTTCCAACCAGTGCTGGTTGCTCTGTAGGCCTGCTGCACAATGATCCTCTTGGGACTTCCCTCACCACCTGCTAGAAAATAGTCTAGCTTTTTCCTGTGTTAAATCCTTTGTTTCCTGGATCCCAGGTCTTCTTCCTTAATTTAATTTCTTTATTTAGGTTAAACACTTTCTTGACTTTCTCAAGATGCTTCATGAGAAAGGGCACATGGGACATAAAGTCATGAAATCTCCCATGAATAAAAAAAATTGTCTCATCCTAACTATTAATTGTTTGACATAGCGTGAAATTCTAGTTTGGACACTATTTTATTCCAATATTTAAAAACATTGCTCCATCAACCTCTAGCTTCCAGAATAGCTATTGAGAAGTCCGGTGACATTCTGTTTCTGCATCCTTTGTATTTATAATGTTTACAACCTATGTTTTCTCTCTTGAACTTTGAGGATCTTCTCACATACAAGATTCTCCGAAATTTAAAAATGCACTCCAAGGCCTGTCTTTTTATTTTTATTTTTTAAACTCATTGGGCTGGGCATTCGTTGGGTTTTTCATTTTGGAAACTCACATTCTTCAGCTATGGAAAAATTATACAAATAATCTTCTGAAAATTTTCTTCCTTCAATTACATATTTTCTCTTTCTGGAGCACCTGTTACTTAAGTGTTGGATTTCTAAGTAGATTCTTTAGTTTTCGTGAATTTCTTTATATTTTTCCAGTTCTTGGTCATTTTGTTCTTTCTTAGAGATTTCTTCAACTTTATATTTCAACCCTTCTATTGCTTTTAAACTTCTGCCACCATTTTTTTTGAGACTGAGTCTCACTCTGTCACCCAGGCTGGAGTGTAGTGGTGCGATCTTGGGTCACTGCAACCTCTGCCTCTCGGGCTCCAGTAATCCTCCAGCCTCAGCCTCCTAAATAGCTGAGACTACAGATGTGTGCCACCATGCTTGGCTAATTTTTATATTTTTAGTAGGGACGGGGTTTCACTATGTTGGCCAGGCTTGTCTCGAACTCCTGACCTCGAGTGATCTGCCCACCTTGGCCTCCCAAAGTGCTGGGATTACAGGCATGAGCCACTGCACCTGGCTCTACCACCAGCTTTTAAGTTCTAAGAGCTTCTTCTTCTCTAAATGTTATTGTTCCATGAATCTTCTATTACTTTTTAAATTTTTTTCTCTTTGTTATTTTTCTCGGCATTAAACTTCATTTCTTTTATTTATTTTTTCTGTTTGTTTTTTAGACTTTGTATTTTATCCTAAAGTATTTTTTCAAGTATTTTTCTGTTCATTAATGTTGTTTATGTTTTATAACAAAGTCCAAATTGTTGGATTGGGTACATTAAATATATTGATTGGACTTCCTGACTTACAAGCCTCTTAGTAGGGTGATACTTGAAACTGGTGAGTTTCACTGGCAGGAACCCCACATTAGTACATCTTTTCTTTTAGGCTTGGCAATTTCCTAGACACTAGGAATATAAGCCTGATAGTAAGCATTCTGGAAGCCTCGTGTTCTCACTGCTCAGTATGATGACTTTCAAATAAATCCAAACCTTATGAAGGTACTTACTTCCTTCTCAGCTATGCTAAATATCCAGAAGATATCCAGAACCTTGCTGGAAGGTAAACTTCCAGTCTTCAAACAGGTATACGGGGGCAGTGGTGTGGCTAAGTGGGATACGAGGGATCTAACTACATCTTATATACATTTTTCAACCAATTGTCTTATTTTCAATCCCACCCTGAACTTCCTTCTTCAGAAGTGATTAATAACACAATTCCTGAGTTTTCTACTAATCTGCAGTGTGAACTAAATTTCCTCTACTTGGTACTTGCCGCAGTGGAGAAATCTAAAGTTGAAGTTACTCACCACTTGCTCATCTTCTTTCCATCTTCCATAACTTCATTGACATTTCTCATTTGCTTTTGGCTTTTTTTGTTGTTGAGGCTTTATAGCCTTTTATGTTGTTATTTTTGTCTTACGGATTCTGAAAGAATGTAGAGGTAGCATGTATTCTATCTGCCATGTTTCGTGTCCTCAAAACATGTGACCCTTATCATTACTGCAGCAAGGGAAGAGAGAGCTGGAAGGATTCTCAGGGGCTTTCTTTGGCCTTGGCCCAGAATGGTATCTCATGACTTTTTTTGGCCAATCTACTCTAATCCAAAGTAATGTCTGTCATTACTTAGAGTAGATTGGCCAGAAAAAAGTCACAAGATACCATTTAATTGAAAGAGGCCGTGAAGTATCTTATTCCATTTGCTAGGAGGAGACTGAATCTGAATATTGGAAGCCACTAGTAATAATGACTGTGCATTTAATGAGCTCTTACCACATGCAAGGCATTGCACTATTACACATGTTGACATAATTTATACTCATGAAATCTTTTGAGACAGTTATTATTTATATCACCTTTTTACAGACGAGGAAAGTGATACCCAGAGAAGTTAAGTAATGCACTAATAATCGACAAGACAGTAAGGAGCAAAGTCATGATTGAACACACACAGCCTGACTCCGGAGCCTTTGAACTTAATCATTAAATCACTTTGGCTCATATTTCGTTAATCCACAGAAGTTTATTGGGAAAAAATTTTGTGCCAGGCACTGTGTTATGTAGGTAGAAAAAAATAATGAAATACTTTGTCTCCAAAAGCTAACTATATTTACCTGTGGAAAGTGAAATCATAGGTGATTTTTTTCTTTTCTTATGCTGTTCTGTATTTTCTGTTTTTTTTTTTATTTAAAAGATCCCACATAATTTTACAACCATTAAAAAATATTTCCATTTGAAAAATCAATGGATGGGAATTTAATTCTGATACTTCTTAAATTGGTTCAGGGATTGGTGACATGGTAATAATGACAGGTTAAACACTGGTGAGAAAAGAAACTTATCTATTGGCTCATCATGGACTCAGAATTCCTCTGCCAGGTAGCATAGGAGAGAACGTGAACCTGCCAGTCTGCTGTATAGAACTTTTATCATGAGAGATACAGGAGTAAGTTTCCATTGGAAAAATATACAAGTTTTCAAAGCCTCATGCCATTGCCATTTCAGGGGCTACCCTGAGGACAACTCATTTCTTGAGATCACTGGGGTAAAAAAGCACATGACCTGAAGGTTTAAGTACAAGCTGTGAAGTATTATTCCTACAAATTGTATGTATGTTTAAAAATTCAATCCAATTCAAAGCTCAAATTCAAATTAAATTAAAAACTCAAGTGATGGGTAAAATTTCCCAACTTTTCCACCATTCAGACAATGATTTTTTCTGAATTTCTTTCTTTTCTTTTTTTTGTTTGTTCGTTTGTTTTAGACAGAGTCTTGCTCTGTCACCCAGGCTGGAGTGCAGTGGTGCAGTCTCGGCTCACTGCAACCTCCGCCTCCTGGGTTCAAGTGATTCTCCTGCCTCAGCCTCCTGAATAGCTGGGATTACAGGTACACGCCACTATGCCCGGCTAATTTTTGTATTTTTAGTAGGGATGAGATTAGTATTTTTAGTAGAGATGGGGTTTGTATTTTTAGTAGAGATGAGGTTTCACCATGTTGGCCAGGCTGGTCTCGAACTCCTGACCTCAGGTGATCTGCCTGCCTTGGCCTCCAAAACTGCTGGGATTACAGGCATGAGCCACTGCACTTGGCTGATTTCTCTGAATTTCTAAGTCTGTTGGAGTCTTTACTTCTTGCAACCTTAGTCCTTAGTAATGTCTTATATTCCTCATAAATCACAATCATAGAAATGTAGGATATTAAGAATAGAAGGAAACTTAGAGTTCATTTAGAGTTAAGTCTTCATTTTAAAGATGATGTGGTTAAATATGAGGCATGGGTAAAGGCTTTGTTCAAAATCTCACATCACTTGCAGACACAGGACCAGAATTTGGGACTCCTTTCTCTTAGGCCAAAGTTCTTTCCCTTATATTACTTCATGGATTGTTACGTTTTCCCCCAATACTAATTTTCTTGGAGGAAGAGATTATGCCTTTTACTTCTTTGTAAGTTGAATGAACCCATATGGAGGATCTAAGAGGCATAACAACAAGTAAACCTTTGCCCTAATAGGGAAAATAAGCAATGAAATATAAATAAGTCAGTATCTATCTGGATTTCAGTGTTGAGAAGGATTCAGCAGTGATATCTGGATTTAATAGAAAGGAATGCCGTGACTGATTAGTGACGTCTGCCTTGGGTATAGGAGGAGGAAACACAATACATATGTCAATGTGTGTATTTCCCTCTGACCAATAATAAGTCCTCTTAACGATATGAACCACCTGGAGAGGATGTACATGGAGAAAAGGTGGGGAATATGGATACCTATTCTACCTATTCAGCAACAAGAACAGGAATCAATCCTAGCTTCCAATGTGGTGACATATGCTCCTACCGGATTGTCTCACTGCTAACTTCTTTGTAACCCCTAAAGCTATGGATATCTAGTAGGCATTCAATTCAATAAGCACATATTAATTAATTGAAATTGGGATATAAACCAACATTTTCACAATAGAACTTTTCATCCTTCTTTGGAAACCCCATATCAATCGAAGTATTTGGCACTTGGTGCATTAAAATTCCTTGTGGAACAAAAATACAACCTTCAAAGCAGGACCATGAATCTCTGGATTATCAATACACAATCCCATCTGATATAAAATTAAGAATATTGTAATCTGATGATTGTACTGTGTAAGTAGCATACCTTCTATATTCTTTGAACCACTCCTCAAAAATGGCCAGAAGGCACAAAAGAAAAGGGGGGATTCAGAAAAATCTTCCTCTAACTTACGGGATTTTATGAGTCAAATTGCGGGGAAAATCTGACTCCGTGTGGACTTCTATTCTGTATGTCATGCTTCTTCCGTAGGTTTGGCTTGCATGATGTCAGGAGTTCCGGAAGTCAAAATAGCGTGGGGGCATGGATCCAATATTGACTCATATTGAGTGGAAGAAATCTACGCCAAAGTCTGGATGAGATAATTTGGTTGTGAGTGCTAGGATGTGACTGCTGATGACAGAGGAAAAGGGAAACCAAGGTGTAAGTTTTGGCTTACTGACTACCTACTCAGTTAAGACTGAGGATAGCATGAGATATGATTGAAATGTTGCTGATGTGTCATGTATAACCATAGCCAGTTTTCAGAAAAAAAGTCTAGTTGAAAAGAAAAAAGAAAGTTTTCAGCCCCTCTGTTTTAGTAATATGGTCACACCTTGGCTCCTGATGGCTTTGCAAAACTTTTAAAGTATATCTTGATGGTGACTTATTCTGCAGTCTCAGAACTGGCCAAACCAACAAAGTGTGAAACCTCTAGTTTGCATGTGCAACAAAAGGTGTTTTACAGGCAGAAAAGAGAGAGAAATTTCTTTGTTTGCAAAGTTGACAAGACAGGAAAAGATCACAAACGTATATACTTATTGTAGTGATAATGTTCTGAACAAAAGAATCATATGTTGAAAGATGAAAATCTAATAGCAGATGTTTCACTGCCAGTCTGGAATGCAGGACCAGCTGCATAATTTGTGGAAACAAGTGCAAAACGAAAATGTGTGTCCTTTGTTTGAAGAGTTATTAGAAATTTCAAGGAAGTGACAACAGAGCATTAAACCAAGTGTGGGCTGTTCTAAGTTCAGGGTCCTGTCAGACTGCACAGGTTGCATGTCCATGAAGTCAGGTTGGCTGGGATGTCTAGGCAAAAATTTCAAAAATATATTTCAGAAACAATTTCAAATTATACTTGCAGTCTTACTATGTTTTAAGGAATTAAAGTGTGATTACTATCTCACAAATTCTACAGAAGAAAAAATCTCAGAAACTAAAGCCTGATAGGGTGTAGTTATTTGAATTCACATATCTAACGTAGAGGTACATGCAATCATCTCAATGGATATTGATAGATTGGGGGATGGATTGACTAAGGGTTCCATCCTCTTTGGGAAGATCTTGGATTTAGACTCAGTTCTGCATTAGCCAGTTGAATGAATTTAAGCACATCACTTGTCTTTCTGGGTCTGGATTTACAAATCTAAAAGGTAAGGGGTTGACCATAGATAATCTATAATTCCATAATTCTGTGCTTGGCCATGCCATCAAGAGTTATTAGAGCTTGGATTTTAGCCGTGTAATTACTCTTTGTAAACAGTTGCCACACTGTAAACATATTCTTAATATAATCTGTTATTTTGAATAGGCATTCTCAATTTACAAGTGGCTAGGCAGTATATCATTCCCTCTTATGGATCCCACTATTCTTAACTCCTCAATCCTAGTACTACATTCCAGTGGAGCAATCAAGGACCAGGCAGAACTAATTTTTACTTATTTCCAGACAGTTGGGAACATTCCTTCCAGTGACTCAGAGGTTGGGCATTGGAAGGTATTGAGAACCTGCAAAGTGTCTCAGGCTCTGACCCAAATCCCTGTGCCACCTGCAAGCACGTTCTCTGGACGTAATTTTTCTTGAGCAGAGCAACAGTAGAGCTTTGTATGCAACAATGTAATTTTTACATTCTTCACTTGCTTAACATGAGGTTTGGTTCCACATAAATGTTTTGATCTTATTTATTCTTTGGGAAGATCGCCCCTCAAAGAGCTTTCTGGCTTTTTTTTCCCACATAAAAGAATACACGAAATTGTCGCAGTCAGCAAGTGTTGGCTAAAGAGACACAGCATCATGTTTCTAACATTAATCATAAATATTATTTAATTAAAAACTAGTTTCTTACAGGTTAGGCCTGATAACATCGGAATTAGAATTTGAGGGCAAATAACTCAAAAGAGAGCCTTAGGCAAGCATTCGAATTTACATTTATTCAGTGCTCTTTATGAGCAAATCTCCATGCTAAAATATTTTAGGGAAGAGAAAGCCATCATAAAAGCAATGAAACAATTTCTGATTTTCAGAAACTCAATCTAACATGGCAGAAGACACGCGAATAGCTATCTTCAATCAAGATTGAGGAATCAGAACTCTTAGAAAAGTATAAACCAAGACTTGTATAGAGAATCTAAGATTAATTTTAAGGAGGATAATTTTGGAAAAACTCAGGGAGATGGTAATTTTTAAGCCGGGCTTGGATGGATGGCTACTACTCTCAGGGGCACAAATGAGGGGAAAAAGAACTCAAGACCAAAGAAACAGCATGAGCAAAGGTCCAGGGTACTTTTTTTTTTTTTTTTTAAAGAAATGACTAGGCCGGGTGCGGTGGCTCACGCCTGTAATCCCAGCACTTTGGGAGGCCAAGGCGGGCGGATCACGAGGTCAGGAGATCGAGACCATCCTGATTAACACAGTGAAACCCCGTCTGTACTAAAAATAGCACAAAAAAAAAAAAAAAAAAAAAAATTAGCCGGGCGTGGCGAGTGCCTGTAGTCCCAGCTACTCGGGAGGCTGAGGCGGGAGAATGGCGTGAATCCGGGAGGCAGAGCTTGCAGTGAGCCGAGATTGCGCCACTGCACTCCAGCCTGGGTGACAGAGCAAGACTCCGTCTCAAAAAAAAAAAAAAAAAAAAAGAAATGACTAGTCATCCAATGTGCCAAAATAATAATAAACTTTTATTAGTGATTACTATATGCCAGGAAAAATTCCTAGCACTTTATGAGGATTACCTGATTTAATTTTCAACTGAAGCATGGAAGAAGATACTATTATCAAGCCAGTTTTACAGGTAAGGAGACTGAGTCATAGAAGATTTAAGAAGCTAACTCACAATCATATAGCTAGATAGTAGAGGAGTCAGGAATCAAGTTTGCCCCATAACTGCAATACTGTTATGTACACAGTACAGGTAGAAATGCAAAGTGGGTTTGAACCAAAGAGTGGAGGGCTTTTTGTGCCATCCCAAAGTGTTGTACTTCATAAATAAATTACAAAGGAGGAGAAAGAATCCTATTTTTTTTTGTATCTGAAAGACAAAGAAATAAAAAGTTAAAAAGATTCTCTGTTAGTACTGATTATTTGGAACAATAAATTGTTTAGAGCTATGCTGTTCAATATAGTAGCACCTAGCAGTATGTGCCCATTAAGCGTTTGAAATACGACTAGACCAAATTGAGATGCACCGTAGGCTTAAAATATACACTGTATTTCTTTCCTTTTTTCTTTTTTTCTTTTTTTTTTTTTGAGACGGAATCTTACTCTGTCACCTAGGCTGGAGTGTAGTGGCGCGATCTCGGCTCACTGCAACCTCCACCTTCTGGGTTCAAGCCATTCTCCTGCCTCAGCCTCCCTAGTAGCTGAGATTACAGGCATACACCACCATGCCTGGCTAATTTTTTTGTATTTTTAGTAGAGATGGGGTTTCACCATATTGGCTAGGCTGGTCTCAAACTCCTGACCTTGTGATCCACCCGCCTCAACCTCCCAAAGTGCTGGGATTACAGGTGTGAGCCACTGCGTCTGGAACTCCCCCTGGGAATATTCTCTACACTGTATTTCAAGGATTTAATATGACAAAAAGAATGTCAAATACCTTATTAACAATGTAGTATATTGATGCATACTGAAGTACTATTTGGGATATATTGGTTTAAATACAATATATTTTAAAATTATATTTACCTTTTAAAAAAACTTTTATTAATGAGGCTACTAGATCATTTAAATTTACCTGTGTGGCTTGTATTGTATTTCTACTGGGCAGTGCTGATCTAGAGCAATTTGAAACTTGTGGTAGATATTTTACTAACCAACTCTGATGAAGGACTTCCTCACCAAATTGTTCTTTTAACCGCATTCTTTCCTTGCTTTCTGGTCATTTGCAAGAAAAATTTTAAAAGGCTGCCCCTTTGTAAAGGTTTGAGAGGCCCTAGAATTTCGTTTTTCACTTGTTCCCAACCACAAGCAAATGATCAATGTGCTTTGTGAATGAAGAGTCAACATTTTACCAGGGCGAAGTGGGGAGGTACAAAAAAATTTCCAGTCCTTGAATGGTGTGAAGTAAAAGTGCCTTCAAAGAATCCCACCAGAATGGCACAGGTGGGCATAATGGGTCTGTCTCATCGTCAAAGGACCCAAGGAGTCTAAAGGAAACTCTAACTACAACACCCAAATGCCACAAAACCTTAGTTATTAATACAAACTATCATCCCTGCCTATCTGTCACCATCTCATCTTAAAAAACTTGTGAAAATACGTAATCCTCAGGAGACTTCAATTAGGTATAAATACCAGCAGCCAGAGGAGGTGCAGCACATTGTTCTGATCATCTGAAGATCAGCTATTAGAAGAGAAAGATCAGTTAAGTCCTTTGGACCTGATCAGCTTGATACAAGAACTACTGATTTCAACTTCTTTGGCTTAATTCTCTCGGAAACGATGAAATATACAAGTTATATCTTGGCTTTTCAGCTCTGCATCGTTTTGGGTTCTCTTGGCTGTTACTGCCAGGACCCATATGTAAAAGAAGCAGAAAACCTTAAGAAATATTTTGTAAGTATGACTTTTTAATAGTACTTGTTTGTGGTTGAAAATGACTGAATATCGACTTGCTGTAGCATCTCTGATAGGCTGTCATCTCTTGTAGGCAGTCATTTTGAGATTTGGTGTTATTTTGTTAATTATTGACTAGATGAGTTCCTTGACTAAATAATCTAGATATTGTTTTAACCTTCTGCTCAGTTTGTATAGAGACTTAAAAGGGATTTATGAATTTTCCAAAAGATGGGCATAATATGGGTATGAAGCATAATGATGTTAATAATTTTGTGGTGGGAACTCATTCAGTTGTGATAGTCAAGGAGTATGCAGATTGAAAAAAATGATTGGTTATTAGTTTTTGACTTCTCAGACTCTAAGGTCAAGATTAGCATTAAAAAGGTAATAGGAAATGTTTACAAATTAAAGTCAAAAAGGTCCTTAAAGCTTTGGCTTAAAAAAATAACTGATAGGTGATTTTCTCCAAAAAGTGATTTCAACATTCTGCTTCTCTATCTATATTACTTGTGAAGTATTCCGGAACTTCGTTGCTCACTGGGATTTTGGAAGAATTATGATTCTGGCTAAGGAATGTTTAAAAATTTTAAGTGAATTTTTTGAGTTTCTTTTAAAATTTTATTGATGGTTAATGAAAAGTTTTTACATTTTAAATATTTCATTATTTGTTTAAAACTTAGCTGTTATAATTATAGCTGTCATAATAATATTCAGACATTCACAATTGATTTTATTCTTACAACACAAAATCAAATCACACACACACACACACACACACACACACTCGCACATGTTTGGAACTATCTTTTAAAGCTCGTATAATAATACCCTACAGGAAGGCACAGTAGATGTAATAGAAACCTGTACCATTGGGGGGCAGTATTTTATAGTGGGGTGGCTTTGCTGTTTTTTGTTTTTGTATTTTTTAGCCTAGCTTGAAAATACTTTCTTTAGCTTACTATAGTTTTTGGGACCTTTGGAGTATCAGCTTTGTTGAGCTCATTTGTGACATTGCAATTTAATGGTTATATTGGGAAATAAAAAAGCTAAAAGAACATAATAGTCTTTGTCTATATCTCACATAAGCCTTTTGGGAATACTTATTGTTAGAACTAAGCAGAAGAGTTGAAAAGGAAATCAGTGAATATTGTCACATCTGAGTTCAATGAAACTTGAAATATATTTTTAAGGCAATTTATGGGCTAATTGTAAACCAATTTTTTCTTTTTTTTTTTTTAGAATGCAGGTCATTCAGATGTAGCGGATAATGGAACTCTTTTCTTAGGCATTTTGAAGAATTGGAAAGAGGTAAGCTGAATATTCCCATTTGGCTAATTTTCCTGTTGCTTGCTTTCTGATGGATAAATTCACATCATCCTCTGTTTGTGCTCTTTCCTTCCAAGGAGAGTGACAGAAAAATAATGCAGAGCCAAATTGTCTCCTTTTACTTCAAACTTTTTAAAAACTTTAAAGATGACCAGAGCATCCAAAAGAGTGTGGAGACCATCAAGGAAGACATGAATGTCAAGTTTTTCAATAGCAACAAAAAGAAACGAGATGACTTCGAAAAGCTGACTAATTATTCGGTGAGGCTATTTAAATTCTTTCTTTGGTTTCATTGCCGAGGGTCTTGCAAAGCATTTATTCTCCAGAAAGTAGACATTAGCTATTTAACAGTTGCTAAAGCTATGAACTCAACTCATGGCTGAAACTCTACCTTACTATTTCCATTCGTGTTTGGGTGACTTTGCAAAGCCAGTAAGAGAATCGCTGAAGTATGTAATGTAGAGAAATGCTGGCATTGTAACTATTGCGTAAAGACAGGTGAGTTGACAAATCCAGTGAAGAGGAAGTAGGTGAGGAAGAAGCGGGGAGTACTGAGAAGCAGTTCTCTCATTGTCCCTTGCTCATATGATGGAAATTCTCTTACTTTGAATGAGAGGCTGTCTGTCTTAATGGAAAGAGCAGTGGGAGGAGCTGAGAAGATGTGTGTTCTCCTCCCAACTCAGCCACCAAGGAACTGTGATGAATCACATGGCTGGCTGGGGCTCAGTTTCCTCATCTTAAAAGGAAACTGTTAGGCTCACTGTATAAGTTTGATGACCTTCTTTGCTCCAAAACTCTACAATGCAAAGAATAGAAAATGAGAATGAGATAGAAGAAAGCTACAGTCTTTGAATAGGTACCAGGGACACCCCACTGCAAGTCTCTAGCCAACCTATCAGATTGTACTGCCCAATTAGAAGCAAGAATGGTTGCTGTTTGTTTGTTTTTAGGGAAAAATAGATAGAATTTATACCTTATGAAAAGATTGTTCTATCAACTCTCTATCAACTTTCAGAATATCTCAGCTGGAGAACTCCTTAGACTCCTAAGTCTTACCTCATGAACTTGTATCTTTAAGTTATGGCTTCTATAAACAGAAAGATAACGTTGAGGCATAAAGACAAATCATGTTTTTCAAAATGTTTTCTAGAAGACAAAGGCCTCTAGATTCCTTTGGGGTTGACTTTGATATAAATGGGCTCAAATGAGAGGGACCAGGGTCTTCAAGCTAGCATTTGTGTTCTTAGGATATGTGCTCAGCTTTCACTATTGCTGGGCCTGCCTCTCACTCCTCTCATGTAAGCCCCCAGAAACAGAAAGGAGAGACATGGCAACAGGTCTCCTTTGGTTATAAACTAGACACTCAGCACTTGTTTCTAATCCAGTGGTGCCCCTGGCTTACTGTTCAGTCCTGGATAAGTCTCTTAGTTTCTTGGTGATGATTTGAACATTGGAAAGTAAAATCTGTCACTTGCAAACACACAGCTTGTCGAAAATTTTTTCTACTCTGCAGGAACTGGGCCTTAAAAAAATGAAAAAAAATCTGTGGTTTCTTCCTTCTGGAAGCTACAAACCTCCTGTTTCTTGATGGGCAATCTTGAGTGAGCTCTATTAATTATTATTCTCTTTGGCTCAGTTGCTAAGCTATTTTATGCATGTTATGCCCTTTGACAATTAGTCTTTAGCTGTAATCCCCCAGCCATCCTCAGAAATGTGGTGAGTAGCCATAGTGTTCCCAAGATTAGAAAAAATGTAATGGCAGAGCCAAGAGGAAGGTAAATGGTCCACATTTTATGAAGCATCATCTAAATGGCCCTATTGGTTAGAGTGAGGAGATGCAAGTAGTTCAATTTGCTTGCCTAGAAGGCAGGGTACTGGAAAAGTTGTTGCAATTCTTAATTTTAAACTTTATATATCAGTAAGCCATATATAAATATGATTGGGGGTGTTTATTTTAAAATCTATTATGGAAATTGAGAGACTGACCTAATCTGGGAGAAATTAAAAATTACAGTTTTCACTCGTTTTGGATTTGGTGTTTTCTAGGGTACCTAACCTAGATCAGTGGTTCTCAAACTTAGGTGGATGTCAGAATCACCTGGGGAGCTTAGTGAATGCACAGGGCACAGTCCTTCCACTTCATGCACCTGGATCTCTGAGGTCTTTGACAGGTTTCCGGATTAATCTGCTATGCACAACAGTGAGAATCATTGACCTATAGTTACTCATTTGATGCATACAGGAAAGACTGAAGTATAAAGTGATATAATTGGTAGATTGATGATAGAGAGGTCATAGAAACAGTCTCATCCTCCTTTAGATGAGAAAATAGAAGTTCAGAGAGGTTAAGTAGCTGGCTCAAGGTCAGAATTATTGCATGCATGAGATTCAAACCCACCTTTTTATGCTGACTCCACAACCAGGAGTCTTTTCACTATATAATTTCAAGAATTCTATAGAAGTAGATTTAAAGATATGTGATGGACTCCACCACATTATAGCACAACTAGAAATGTAATTGTAATTTTTAGCTTCAACTGCTGAAGAAGTAAATATTGTATATTAAGGTAATACGGTCCATTTTTTAAAGGAATACTTTTATTTTCACTGACCATCATGACATTAGCAGAATATCCTGATGGCTTATATGCCTGAAATTAATTTTGCTCTTTTCTTTCCCGATAGGTAACTGACTTGAATGTCCAACGCAAAGCAATACATGAACTCATCCAAGTGATGGCTGAACTGTCGCCAGCAGCTAAAACAGGGAAGCGAAAAAGGAGTCAGATGCTGTTTCGAGGTCGAAGAGCATCCCAGTAATGGTTGTCCTGCCTGCAATATTTGAATTTTAAATCTAAATCTATTTATTAATATTTAACATTATTTATATGGGGAATATATTTTTAGACTCATCAATCAAATAAGTATTTATAATAGCAACTTTTGTGTAATGAAAATGAATATCTATTAATATATGTATTATTTATAATTCCTATATCCTGTGACTGTCTCACTTAATCCTTTGTTTTCTGACTAATTAGGCAAGGCTATGTGATTACAAGGCTTTATCTCAGGGGCCAACTAGGCAGCCAACCTAAGCAAGATCCCATGGGTTGTGTGTTTATTTCACTTGATGATACAATGAACACTTATAAGTGAAGTGATACTATCCAGTTACTGCCGGTTTGAAAATATGCCTGCAATCTGAGCCAGTGCTTTAATGGCATGTCAGACAGAACTTGAATGTGTCAGGTGACCCTGATGAAAACATAGCATCTCAGGAGATTTCATGCCTGGTGCTTCCAAATATTGTTGACAACTGTGACTGTACCCAAATGGAAAGTAACTCATTTGTTAAAATTATCAATATCTAATATATATGAATAAAGTGTAAGTTCACAACTACTTATGCTGTGTTGGACTTTTTCTAAGTGAGACCTGGAGTGAAAGAACTACCTATTAATGAATTAGTAGGGAGGGGAGTCTTCTTAGCTGTGGAAATTTTAGAGTTGCATTTGGTTCCATTAAATGTGGTATTTCTTTCCACTAGCATTTTGTTGGCTTTCGCTTTTCCAGTTAGCAGCTCTTTGAATTATCTTTCTAAGATACAGATTTAATTATGTCACTATTCAATTCAGAGGTTCTGCTATGGAATGTAGTTTAAACTGCTTAGCTTGGCACACAGAGATTTATTTCTAGCCCCTTCTCCACCTTCCTATTTCCTCCTTCATTTCAGAATCTTCCTCTCCCTCATCCAATGCTGGCAAACACCAGTGGGGGTGGAGTAGTGGGTGTAAGCTCTAGGGAGAAGGCTTGGATTGGAATCCAAGTTATTCCATTACAAGTAGTGTGACCTTTAATACATTATGTATATTGTCTAAGTTTCAGCTTTATTGTCTGAAAAAGAAAAATAATTGTGTGTTCCTCATAATATTGTGGTACGAATTGATTCTTTCACTCAAGAAATATTTACTGGAGTACCTACTACATGCCTGGTGCTGTTGTAGACCTTGAGATACCTTACTCAAGCAAAACAGCCAAGGATCCCTGCCCCTGGGGAATTTGAAATTAAGCAAGGGACAGATAAACAATGAACAAAATACATAATATGTAAGTCTATTGCATGGCATTCTCTAAGGTGATTGGTGTCATGGAAAAATAGTTAAAGGAGAGCAGGACAGGGAAATTAGGAGTCCTATGTATGGTGGAGTGGGAGGGCTAGAGGTTTAAAAGGGTAATTATATGTGGCCTTATTGAGGAGATGCCATTTGAGGAAGCGCTTTAAGAAGTAAGAGAGGTAGCTATTTGAATTCCAGGCAAAAGGTATATCCTTGCAAAGGCTCTGAAGAGATTTTCCTGGAGTGGTAGAAGAACCAGCAGACCAGTGTGCTGGGCCCAGAAGACGGAAGAGAAAATCAGCCACACTTGAGAGGAATTCAGGGGAAGCAATGTCCTTAGGGGAGGGCCAGTTTATCTTTTGAGAAGGAGGAAGTTGAGGATATGATGGATTTGGTTAGTTCTGGGCTGTAAATTCCAGAAGACCCAGTGAGACAAAGTAAGAGAGGTTGTCATAAAAGGGAACGTGCATAGGGATGTGTTGTGAGTCTGAGACTTCTTATGATTACCGACATAAACAAGATAATGGATATAGTGAGATTAGTTCTACCAGCTGTGGAACGTGTAGTGGTGGCAAGATCATGAATGTCAAGGATAGAGAGGGTTAGACATCTGGGGCTTCCTTCTCAACAATTTCACATAAACCTCCAACAGCAACAGTAGGATTATGTGAAATAGATCACACAAAGGATCATTTGAGTCATTGACAATAATCAGGGGTCATTATTTTGATTATTGGGTAACTAAGTGACAGTGGGTGAGATCTGATGCTAAAACTTTTGAATCTTTGATGAAGCAAGATTGGAAGTAAATTTGGTTAATTTTGGCACAACTACAGCTAATATGATCTGCTACTGGTGTCTCCACTCTTGTTTGAATTAAGATTCATTGATGCAGACTTTGATGTATAAACAGATGAAGGGCTACTGTGAAGCTGTCTTGCCTGGACCACAGTTCTAGACCATACTTCTGGGGAAGGGATTGGAAATTCCCACCATCGATCATCTTGAGCAGTGATTAATCATACCATGTGTAATGAAGCCCCAGGAGATAAATTTTAATCTAGGGCTGGATAAAACATTCCCTCTCTCTGAGGTTGATCTCAGTTTGGCCAGACTGTGAGACATGAAGAGATATAAACTGTATTAGGTGCTGTGATTATAGCAGGGAATGAGACAGGGAGAAGATCCTTTAAGAGAACTTGAGTTGAGACTGGCCTATGCAGTGGTTGTCAATTATTCTCTATGTTGTATGTTTCTTCTCTTATGAACACACCTAGTTTCAGAAGTGTGATGGAGCTTGTAGGAGGGATGGACCATGCTTTAGACTAAGACACCTTGGGGGCTGATTCCTCTCCCAATGCCAGCAGGGGCAGGTATCTCCCAAATCTTATAAGCAGCTGGGACAGCAGCCTGGGCTTGCAGTGGGAGAGCCCTTATCGTATAGCTTTCACCCTTAGTGACTTTCAGAAATTGCTGGCATATGCTTGCTGGTGGGGCAATTTTTGGTGATTAAAACTTGAGCATGAAATGTCAATGGATTTTCCTGTTCTTTCTTATCCTGTTCTCTTCATTCTTCTCTCCTTCCCATTTGAACAATATTATTCTAAATCAATTAAGTGCATCAGAGTAAGGTAGACATCTGTAATTGCCCACTATGGGCAGCCAAATTCCAGGCACAGTGTGTAGGGAGGAAACCTGGTGTGGAAGGTGTCAGAACCTGAGCAGAATGAGGAGAAGGTCCTTGAAGAGGTGGGTGAGCATATTAGTTTCCTATTGCTTTGGTAATAAGTGACAACAAACTTAGTTGCTGAAAAAAAAAACCCACGTTTATTATCTTATCATCATGGAGGGCAGAAATCCAAAACTAGGCTCAGTGGGCTAAAATCAAGGCATCGGCAGGGCTTGTTCCTTCTGGAGACTTTAGGAGACAATCTGTTTCCTTGACTTTTCCAACTGCTAGAGGCCACTCTCATTCCTCAGCTAGTGGCCTCTTCCTTTTTAAAAGCCAGCAGAAGAGTATCTTCCAGGCTCTCTCATTCTTTCTGACTCTGATACTCCCGATTTCCTCTTATAAGGACCCTCGTGATTACATTAAGACCTCTTGAATAATTCAGGATACTGTCTCCTCCTTCTTAAGATTTTTAACTGAGAAGTTTTTTTTTTTTTTTTTGTTTGTTTGTTTTTTTTTGCCATATAAAGCAACAGTCCCAGATTCAGGGGACTAGGATGTGGACATCTTTGGGGGTCCATTATGCAGTCTATCACAGTGCGGCAGCCTGACATGGGTCCTCTGAACCTTAGCCTAGCAAGGAGGTGCCCATGTGGAAGAATGGCCTGGAGTAGGGTGTCAGAGTCCAGGCAAGGTGAGGAGGACATCTGTGTCCTGGGATGGCCCAGCATGAGTGTTAGAGTGAAGTAAGAATGGCATCTGCATAGGGGAAGACATATTAGTGCAGATGGGAAATTAATTAAGTAATTATATTAAAGATAATGGGAGCCAGTTTTCCTCACTATTGAAGGAAGGTACAGTACAGAAAAGGAGAAAATTAGAATAAACCCTATGATATTGAAATAGAATTAGATGTATCAGTATTAACTTATGCTCTTCAATATATAGAGGTAGATATAGAAATAAATAATAGATAGAAATATTAGTTCACCCTAACTCTGTCCATTGAGGGGGCCTGGGAGTAGTAACATCTCGATAACAATGAGAACACTGATCACCCATATCTTGACTTCTAAATACCATTCTTTGCTAGAATGAACCAGAACTCCTTGGAGAATTGGCTGATCCCAGAACAGGGGTAGTGAAAGTACATGAAGTGCTAGAAAAAAAAGAAGTATTCAGAGGATGATGGAAACATGTTAAAAGGAACAGAAACCAGCTTGAAGGGACTCCCACTAGTGAAATATGAGAAAATTTGAGCATCAAAATAAATAGTGATAGTAATGTATTATGACCTATTGAATATAATAGGAAACCATGAGTATATATTGATATAAATGAATACACCAAAAGTTTGATGAGGAATGGTATAGCCACATCATTGCAAAATATCTCCCTACAAAATATTTATTAATTACAAATTGGAAAGGAGTAATTTTATGGTAGAGAAGCTTAGCAGATACCATCTTAATCAAGGAATAAAAGTGAACATCCTTAGTAATGAGATAAATGAAAAGGGTATCCTACCTGATAGGTTGCAAGAAAACGAACATAGCACACCTTTTGTGATATCTCTGTGAAAGATGCATAACCTATTCTAGTCATGAGAAAACATACAAATGCAAACTAAGAAGCATTCTACAAAATATCTTGTCTGTAGTCTTCAAAGTATCAAAGTTGTATAAGTTAAGGAAAGACTAAGGACTGAAGAACAGTTTTGTTCTGAAATGAATTATAGAGACATGATGGCTAAATGCAATGCAAGTTTCTAAACTGAATCCTTGTGCAGTAGAAATCATTTTTAGAACAACTGGTGAACTTGAATGAGGTCTGAAGATGAGAGAGTAGTAATATATCAATTTAAACTTCCTGATTTTGAGGTTTGTATCATGGTTAAGCAGGACATGTCTTTGTGGGTAGGTAGTGCACATGAATGTATTCAGAGGTGAAGGGGCATCAGGATAGCCACTTACTCTGAGATGATTCAGGAAATATAAAGCTTTTCCAACTCTTCTGTAAGTTTGCAATCTTGTTCTTTCTTTTAAGACAGGATTTGACTCTGTCACCCAGGCTAGAGTGCAGTTCGTGCAATCACGGCTCACTGCAACCTCCGCCTCCTGGGCTCAAGCCATCCTCCCACCTCAGCCTCCCGAGTAGCTGGGACCACAGGCATGGGCCACCATGCCCAGCTAATTTTTTATTTTTGTACTTTTTGTAGAGATGTGGTTTCACCATCTTGCCCAGGCTGGTCTTGAACTCCTGGACTTCAGTGATTCACCCACCTTGGCCTCCCAAAGTGCTGGGATTTGAAGGCGCCCAGCCTGCAATATTTTTTCAAAATATAAATACGAAAAAGTCACTCTGAGATTATTTCAGAGTCACAGACTGGTGAGGTCTAAAATTCTTGATGACTCAGAATTCCCCATATTTAACTTGCAACAGGTGAAATTTCCAAAAGTAATCACACATATATATTCACCCCATCCCCATGCTCTTCTTGTAATGTGACTGACACTCCCCCAACTTAAAGATGAGGGTATGGTCCTCCCCTAAATACTGGGCGGGGGCTTGTGACTTTGCTTACCAGTGAAGTGAAATGGAAATGAAGTCACATCCTTTGAAGTCTAGGGTGCAGTCTCTACCTGGCTTCTCTCCATCTCAAGACTTTTGCCCTCAGAACCCAACATCATGTTGAGATGTTCAGGCTGCATGGGGAAACCATGTGTGCATATTCTGGCCAAGAGTTCCAGTAAGGCTTCCACTCAGCATCAGCACAAATCATCAGATGTGTGTGAGCAAGCTCTTAGATGATTGTAGCTCCAAGCATTTGAATTTTCCAACTGAGGCCTCAATGAAAAAAACCATCATGGGCTGGGTGTGGTGGCTTACACCTGTAATCCCAGCACTGTGGGAGGCCGAGGCGGGCGGATCACCTGAGGTGAAGAGATTGAGACCATTCTGACCAACATGGTAAAACCTCATCTCTACTAAAAATACAAAAATTAGCTGGACATGGTGGCACATGCCTGTAGTTCCAGCTACTCAGGAGGCTGAGGCAGGAGAATCGCTTGAACCCGGGAGGTGGAGGTTGTGGTGAGCTGAGATCATGCCACTGCACGCTAGCCTGGATGACAGAGTGAGACTCTATCTCAGGAAAAAAAAAAAAAAAGAAAAAAAAGAAAAAAAACCATCGTGACAGACTTCCAATTTTAGCTCCAACATATACAGAGCATGGAAGTTGTTACTCCAGCCTTTAAAACAAGGAAAAGCTGGACAAATAAAACCAGCGAGTTTTTTAGTTCCATCATAGAACGGAATTTGCAGGACAAACTGCCACAATAAAATCTGGAGAGTAGGCAAATCCAGAAATTCACAGCCAAGATCTGCTTACTTGGACCTGAATCCACTGGAGTAATTAACTTGTTAAAACACTTAAATGGTAATTTTGATGACTTGCTGGAGGCTGAGTGTGGACTAGCATGGGAGTGAGAAACACCTGGGGGCCGAACTGTGATGGGTCCTCCTTGTTTTCGTGAGCATACCTACAGGAATCCCACCAAGTTCTCCTGGTGAAGTTCTGACAAAGATACCCCTGTGGCTCTGGCAGGGGGAGGGGACGAGTAACCTTCTGAAGTATGTCCAGAAACAAAGGTCTGCTCTCCAGGGGAAAGGCTTTACCAGACTCCTGTGAGAGGGCTGTGGGGGAAGGATGTTTCTCTAACTTGAGTCCCTTCTAGTTGTCCTGTTACACCTAAAGCTATACAAGAAGAAACACTTGTGAAGATCACAGTCCTGAGACACAGGCCCACTAAAATGCTGAGATTTAAAGATTATAAAACACTTCCCTTTCCCCATACTTTACTACATACCACAGGGCTCCAGTAATAACAGTGGATCACAGGTGAAAGAGCTGCAAGGCACAGACTCTGTCTAAGTAGGAGTAGTTACGGAAGCACAAGGTAAAGATGGGAGACAAAGGCAAGAATGCCAGAGAACTTGAAGCCTCTGGCACACGGAAAGGTGAGAGAAAACACAGCCTGAAGCGATACAGCAAACATCAAAACCAGACTCGGATATGACATAGAGTTTGGGATTACCAGGTAAGAAATTTAAAATAACTAAAATTAATATGTTAAGGGAGAAAGTAGACAACATGCAAGAACAGATGGGTAATGTCAGTAGAGAGATGGAAATTCTAAGAAAAGAATCAAATAGAAATACTATAAATAAAAAATACTGTGACAGAAATGAAGATTGTCTTCGATAGGCTCCAGTAAACACAACGTATCAGTGAGCTTGAAGAGAATCAGTGAGCTTGAAGATAGGTAAATAGAAACTTCCCAAACTGAAATGCAGAGAGAGAAAATGAAGAACAAGCAAACAAACAGAATAGAAAAAAACACACAAAAAAGAACTTCCAAGAACTGGGGAGGGGACAATATCTTTTTTCTTTTTTCCTTTTTTTTTTTTTTTGGCAATTTCAAAATACGTAGCGAAACAATAGATCCTCATAGAATACTGGGCAGAACAAATTGCCATAAAACTACCCCTAAGAATGTGCTGTGGTTTGTAAGAAGTTCAGGTATTGTAAACTTAATCTCCAACACAATAGTGTTGAGACAGGGACCTTTAAGAGGTGATTAGGTCATGACGGCTGTGCCCTCATGAATGGATTAATGTCATTATTGAGAATGGGTTAGTTATCCTAAGAGTGGGTTTACTTTTAGAATAAATTCAGCCTCCTTCTCCTCCTCCTCTGAACCTTTCTCTCTCAAGCTCTATTGCTCTCTCTCATCTATGTGATGCCTTTTGCCAGGTTGTGATGCAGCAAGAAGGTCTTCACCAGGTGCAGCCCCTTGGCCTTAGGTTTCCCAGCCTCCAGAACTGTGAGACAAATTAATGCCTGCTCATTATAGATTACTCAGTCTCAGGTGTTCTGTAATAGCAGCACAAAATGGTCTAAGACAGAATATCATATTCAAATGGCAGAAAAACAAAGAGAAAAACTTGAAAGAGCCAAAGGGAAAAAACACCACTTTACCTGTGGAAGAACAAAAAATTACAACAGGCTTATTTTCAGAAGATATGTATGTTAGTTTCCCATTGCTGTTGTAACAAATTACCACAAACTTGGTGGCTTGAAACAACACAAATCTGTTATTTTCCAGTTCCGGATGTCATAAGTCCAAAATCAGTCTCAGTGACTAAAATTAAGGTGTAGGGAAGCTCTGTGTTCCTTCTGGAGGCTCTGAGAAGAGAATCTGTTTCCTTATCTTTTTTAATTTCTAGAGGCTGCCTGCACTACTTGGCTCGCAGTCTGCTTCCTCCTTGTCAGCTGAGTCCTTTTCATGCTGCCATCTCTCTGGTTCTCTCTCTCTGCCTATATTACCCATTTATAAGAACCTTTGCTTTCATATCGGTTTACCCAGATAATCCAGGATAATCTCCTCATCTGGAGGCCAGGTGATTACCAACCTTAATTTCATCTTCAACCTTAATTCTTTTCCATTTAACCTAACATATTTGTAGAAGAAAACAGAAGGTATACAGATTGGAAAAGAAGAAATTAAACTGTTCATAGTGACATAATTGTCTGTGCAGGAAATCTCAAGGAACTGACAAAAAGTTCTTGGAACTAATAAATGAGTGTTGCAAGGTGACAGGATACAAGGCGAATACACAAAAGTTAATTGCTTTCCAATATACCAGCACTGAACAATTAAAATTTGAAGTTAAAAACATCATTTACAATAGCACCCAAAACATGGAATAGGTATAAATCTAACAAAATATGTACATGACCTCTATGTAGTAAATTACAATGCACTGATGAAAAACATCAAAGAAGATCTAGGTAAATGGAGAAACATTCCATGTTCATGGATTGGAAGACTCCATATCATTAAGATGTTATTTCTTATTAGCTTCATCTATAGATTCAACAAAATCCCAGCAAGTATTTTGTAGATACCAACAAATTTTGAAATTTATGTGGAAAGGGAAAAAACATAGAATAGCTAACCCTATACTGAAGAAGAACAAATTTGGAGGACTCATACTATTTAACTTGAAAACCTACTATAAGGCACAGTAATTAGTACAAAATGGTACTGGTGAAAGAATAGCCATATAAATCAATAGAACTGAACAGAGAGCCCAGAAATAGACTCATACAAATATAGTCCACTGAGTTTTGACAGAGTAAAGGTAATTCAATGGAGAGAGCATAGATTGTTCAACAAATATTGCTGGAACAATTGGATGCACATATGCAAAAAAAAAAAAAATCCTAGACAAAACTCATGGCATTAAAGCTATAAAAATGAAAAACCAGTGAAAAAATTTAGATCAAATACCAAAGACTTATTATTTTTGAGTCCTTGCATTGCTGTTGTTTACTAATTGTATGGGACTCTTTTTGGGATGCTAGAACGCTAGGAGACTTACACTTGTGCATTCTTTCATGTTCCTCTGAGGAAGACTGTGACTGATGCCAACAAGATGAACTGTCTGAATGGAAGCTGACTTGGCAGCTGATTCCAGGAAGGATAATACTGTGATTTTTCATTTTTGCTTGAAATGACAATAAGTAATTGTGGGACACCAAAACTAGAAAAAAAAAGGATTATAAACTAATTTTTGAGAAAGGAGAAAAGAAACCTTGTTATATTGGAAATATCAATATGGAATTGACTTAAAAAAAAGGTAGTTACTTATTCTGCTTTCAGTACAAGGGTCACTTATTTGAAATCACTCTGTTCTGTCCTGACTATTAAGGTAAAAACAATTCGTTGTGTATTCTTGTACCTAGATTTGAATTTCTTTGCTAAAGAAGCAAAGAAACAAAATTTCTTTGGTAAAGAAGCAAAGAAACAAAATTTCTTTGGTAAAGAAATTTGATATCACATTTGGAATGGAAAAGTTCAAGTTGAGCTCAGGATATCTTGTGGCCTGTTATTTGTCACCTGATATTTTATTAATATTACCATCTTTCTTGCCACAGTTATGCAAGTAGCTTTATGCCGCCTCATTTATTGAGTATTTGGTATTATGCTAGCCTCTGCTAGGCCTTTATTTGTTATTATTATATTGTTAATATCATAGTATGTGGTCTGTGACAGGCTCAGCACTAGCCCCTGTTGACTTGCCTAAAAAAAAGCACCTGTTGATCAATCAAAGCTGTGTATTAAGCCTACTATAGTAAGCTTGACAAAGTCTTACTAGGTCTCAGAACCTAGAGGTTCAGAGGAGGTCAGGAGGATATTTATAGGGCTTGGGGCTATGGGATCAAGTGGTTTGAGAAAAGTCTTTTAGTAAAGGGAAACTGAGATTGGGGAATCTGGTATGTTGATTTAGGTCTGGTGGAAATGTAAGGCAAGGTTCTTGAAGCAATTCTTGACATATAAGTAGTCATTTGATAATTGTTTACTCAGGGGAGCAATCTACTGTCCTGAGAAGGAGGTCGTTTGTCCAGTTAAGCAAACGATTTGTTCAGATAAAATGATTTTCAATACTTTTCTGAAGCAAGCAGTGAAATTATTTACTGGTTTGTTTAAGTCATCTTGACCAAGGTGGCATTCAGCTTCAGTTCTGCTAGTTAAGCTATATGGACACGGGTGGTCATAGTTCTCACCATGACCCATTTGTCAGTCTCCTTTGTGACCTCTGACTCCTGGGTTGATGTGCGAGGTCTATTTTTGATACATTCTTATCAAGACATAGAGCTTAACTCCTCAAAATAACATACTCACACAAAAGCATTAATACTCAGCAATTCAGAATAGTTTCTGAAGGTGTCGGAGGGTTTTTTAGGGAAACACGATTGTCAGCATTCCAGAGATTTTCTTTTTCCAAAGTTCTGCCTCAGCTGCACCATCATGGAGAGGGGAGAGTTTTCTCTTTCCTCTACACAGTACCAATTTCTTTTCCTTTCCAGGATTTCCTCCCAGGAACTTCCAATTCTTCACTCTTATTATCCAGAGTAGCTTCCTCTTTTCCTTTGAAGATTTGACTGGAATGGAATCCATTCCCTAAGGTTCAGTTTCCAGTGTAAGTTTATCAAATCATTTCCCACAAAGCCAGGCTTCCCCATACAAAATCCTTGCTACTAAAAAGAATTTTTTTTTTTTTAGTTTAGTAGCTTTCACATTTTTCATGATAATTTATGTGTTAGACATTATCACATAGTTACACTAAATGGATAATTGATTGAAAGAATTGAAGAGGGTTGAGAAATCTTGATTTGTCTGTAATATAATCAGCATCTGAGTGCTCTGGGAGAAAATACAAGGCCAGAAGTGCCTTATCCTTTTCTGTTTACCTAAAATGAGAATCTGGCTGCTCCATGACAGGGCTTCTTTTGGGCAGATGGTGATGAAGGATCAAAGGTGAAAGTGCCTTCACCAACTGAGCTGCATTTTATATGCATTCTATTTAATCTTCACAACAATCTTATCAATGAGGCTTGGAAACTATAAATAACATTCCCAAAGTTTTGCAGCTAAAGAGATCTAAGTCTAACTGAATCCTGAACAAGAGCTGTTAAGTACAGCATGTGCTCACTAGTTGCTCATTAGTATAATTTTACACTAGCCCATTACACATTATTGGGGGTGGCCATACCCAAGATTCTTTTTTTCCTTGGAAAGCAAGAGTTTATTTTTATATTTCTGCAAATACTAACTCGGTGACTACAACAAACACAGAGCAATCTCAATGCTGTTTATCCGGAGGATGGTCTGAGGGGTCACAATGAATTATTTCTTCTTGAAGCTTTTCCTTCTCCTAAATCTCATAATGACTCTTGTCCATGATTCTGTCTTTTCAATGACTATGGCTTCTACTCAAACAAGATCCTTTCTGAGGAGTGGCTTGCCAAGCAGTGTGAAGTTGTCTGCCCCAACCAGCAGGACCTTCTTCAGTAGAATTCTCTCTCCACATGCAAGGTCTAGTCCGTTTCCAATTAAGGTGACCTTCAGAGGTCACCTTCCACTGGTGACTGGCAAAATGCACCATGGGAAAAAGCCTGCCATCTTTCCCCGTGGCGATGTAAAGTTACATCAGAGAACCATTGACATCTTGGTTACGGCCACCCCCAAGGATATGTAATAGGCTAGTGTAAAATTATACTCATGAGCAACTAGCAAGCACGTGCTGTACTTGTTTGGGATTCAGTTAGACTTAGATCTCTTTAGCTGTGAAACTTTAGGGAAGTTACTTATAGTCTCCAAGCCTCATTGATAAGATTGTTGTGAAGATTAAATAAAATGCATACAAAATGCTTGGAAGAGAAACAATGCTCTGTAAATGCCTATTATTATTATTGTGATTTTTGTTGAATAAATCAATGAATCACTGTCATTAGCTTCGTCATTCTGGCAAGTTCTGTTCAGTTTTTCTTGATCTGAAAAATTTTCCATTTCTAGAAGAACTGAGAGAGGAAGCAAGTTGCAAAAGAAGTCAGTAAGTCAGAATCCCTGGATTGTGTTTAGTTTAACTCTGTCTTCTTTGGCATGGTGCACTGTTACTTAGGCTCCAATGTAAATTCTGTGAGGTCTTACATCTTAGGATCATCAGGGAGTGGGACTGCCGTGCATAGGGCTTGCAAAACTCACCTAGCTTCAGGGATTTGGTCACGAAAGGGCAGAGCACCCTGGCGGTTGGTGAGACTGTGGTGTGGCAGTTTTGAGGAGAAAGGGTGGGAGCATCTAGACCGTGATCCAAATCTTGGAGACAAGGGCGGCAAGTGTGATTTTGAGGAATCCATCTATAAAAGACGAGGCCACCACTGGTGAGCGGGGTCCCCATGGTGGCATCTAGTCCTTTTGAGCAAGCACTGACACAAGGGCGATGAGGATCTGAGTACTGACCAGCATACCTGATCAAATGCACTGAAACAGCTTGAGAAGAGGAAGGGGCAGGAAGTCCTGGGGCTCGAGAGGTCCAAACAGCATCAGACTCTTCTCTGTTGCATCAGGTCCTTGCTAAACTGCTGTGGATGTAAACTGATGTGACTGCTATGGGCCCTGCCCATATCATCAGTATTTGCTCAAGACCTGGGGTAAAGGGGTTTGAGCAGGCTGAGACTACAACCACAGAGAGCTGGGAAAATGACATATAGGGGCCTGATGATATGCTTTAGATAAGAAAAGGTACACAAATTGTGAAAAGATTTGTAAGAAGTCCAAATGAATCAGTGATCATGTTTGGATAAACACTCTATTTAATTGAGGTTATGATTTTTAGAGGGCAATTGCTTTTCAGAAATACCAAGTATTTTTGGAGATCTGACACTGTCACTCTCACCATCTATGTGACTTTGACTAACTCAGGATCAAATGACATAATATTTGTGACTTCAAATGGCAAAGTTCTGTGTAAATGTGAGCTATGACACTAACATAGTTTCTGGAAGGAGCCTTGTAATATTCTGGGTGCCAGATTCATGAATTGTAGGAGATAATGAAATGTAGTAGATTTTTCTGTTTCTTAAACTTCTCTGATGCTTAAATAATCAATTAAGATCTAATTTCATGAATTTAAATCTTGTTAGTGCTTATTCTCAAATATTGCCTTCAGAAGGATTTTGTGGTTCATGTTAAGAATTTGTAGTGGAATTGTTTCGAATTTTCAACTCATTGTTTTTCCTCTGTATTTGTTTGATCTTGGACCATCCCTCCCATTGAAATAGGCCATTCTGTGCTAGTTGTCAAGGAGAACTGATATAACAATGGAAAATGGAGAAAAACTAGGTCTCCACTTTCAAAAGCCTAGGATGTTAAAAAATAAAAAAGACTTATAATATAGACAAACAATTTAAGAGAAAGCATCCTGAGCTAGAGGAGCAAGTTCTACCCTAACCCTCAGATTAATCAAGAACTCTTCTGGCCGAAAATACTAGGGGAAACTGGAAATAAGGTGATGGGGGAGGATAAGTTGGGGAGCTCTGGGGTCACAAAGCTGGAACAGAGAGAATCATATGTCCCATAATGGAGTCGCTATCTGGAGGTTAGCCAGCTTCTACTTGAGCAAAGTAACCATGTGTCACCTAGACTGACACAAAGAGCATTATTCTAAGGGACATGTGCTTCCATTTTCACCAGAAGATTCTGGGAAACAAACTCTATTTCAGGCTGGAAAAATCTGTTATTATCTCACCAAACACTAGAATATGATTTTGTTTTGTTTTTCTGTTTACATTTTAACAAATATAGTTGATACTCTCATTCACTGCCGTAGTGGCAATTAAAAAAACAATGCACTTGCTCTTTAACCATCCAAAAAAGTGGTATTAACGATTCATGTCAAATGAACACTGAAATTTTTATGAGTTCATGTAATTTATACAAACTACTTTGGGTGCACCAAGACTTTAATTAGTATAGATAGAAAAAAAATAGGATTGCAAACAATAGCAAAATTATGGCTAGGAATATGATTATGCCTGATAGAAGGTTTTATGGGCTGGAGTATGTTTTTGGTGGAATCCAACAGCAATGTTGATAAATCTGTCTCCTGTCATTGCATCCTGCTTGGGGACACCCACTAGCAGATGTTCAGATTCACCAAGGATTATTTGCACATCATTAGCATGGAGGAAGGTGATCTAGCTGCTCTCTAAGAAGCACTAATTATCAACATATTCATTGGGGCTTATGACACCTCAGCATGTTAATGCATTACTTCTGGGTCTTTACAAATATGCTAATCCTATTTGCTACTCAGTTTTCCTGAGGGCTTTGCATAAGTCACTGGAAAGCTTTTGAAAAATTGAGACATCAGCATCCATTGGTGAACTAATAGAGACCCAGCAAACTAATGTTCTATAATTTAGGCCTTCAGGTGCAGGGAAAAAGAGCCAATATTGTGTGTCACAAAACACTTTTTGAAAAAATGCTAAACACATATACTGTAGTGTTTCATGGTTGTGTGGGTGGTTCTACTTTATCTTAGACTGGTGAAGTGAGAGTTGTCTTTATTTTTGAAGAGCAGATGACATGAAATAAACAAAGAAGCCACAGCAGAATAAGTTTCAAACAGGGGAAAGTGTAGTACGCTGACTGAAGGGAAAGCAAACTTTTTTGTCTCTGAGTTGGGGGTACACAACCAGGCATGTACCCCATGGGAGGAGCAAGAACAGGACCAATCAATTCAATGGGAGTATTTCACCAGTCACTAACATAGTAATTGCCCAATTCAGTTTACTTACAATGTTTGGTCATTAGGGTATGTGTGGGTAAGCAAATTCCATTTTTATTCCTCTTTTTCAACCTCATGTGATTTTACAGCACTGGTACTTGACCACAGAGATAGAATCTGTTTAACTACTTTGACACCATGCTGCTTCCAATAACCCAGGAAATGTTTTTTTTCCTTTGTAAGCCATTCAAAGACCATATTGATGTATATTATGTCCTGGTTAAACCATAGAATTCAGTTTTTGTCCTAATGCATATGGGCTCATGAAAATAGTTCACCTTCAAGCCTATTATTTATTCAGTGCTAAAATCCTACAGGTAGTAAAGAAAGGGAGAAAAATTTAAGTTGGTGGAGGAAAACAAATTAATCTTTGCATCTCATAAGATCTTACCTTGTGATTTAAAAAGAAGTACGAAGTGGAAAGAATGTCCCTGGAGCCTCACAAAGGTATACTCTGTGTATCCCACAGAACGGCATACACAGACAGTGGCTCAAAATTACCTTAACACAATTATGAATTTTACATGAAGTTTCAAGAAATTTATTCTGATTTACCAAGAATATTTCTTTCCATGTGAAAATAACATCAGTAATTAATTATTGAGCCTTGCTAAGAGCTTTCTGGTGTCCAACATGATTTTTCACTACTTTAGGTGGAGAATTATCTTAGATGTTGTAGTGGGGTCTCTAGAGGTCCCTGCATATGCCCCATGGAGATGTGAACAATCTAGAAAAATTGAGGGAGGAATATTGTCTGCATACGTTGAACCAAAATGATTAGTTCTAGGGATAGAGATTTTCAAGCAGGTAGGGAAGATGAAGGCTCCCCATTAACCTCCATTATAATCTGCCAGATGGAGATAAATACACTACCTACAGGGCCACTGTATAAATTAAGATAAATTATGTGTGTAAATTGCATGAGACATGGGGCAATTCTTCATTGCACAAAACTGTCTCATGCATTGCAGGAGTTCTAACCTCATTGACTTCCCCACCCACAATACTCCAGTAGAACCTACGAAATTATTGTGACAATCAGAGTTGCTCACAGTACATTTCCAAAATTACTTGGAGGGTGGGGAGATGGCTATCACCCACTCAGCCCTATGACCATTGGACTAATAGAATTTTATGGAAACTTCCACACCTGTGCATGCATGAAGCCATAATTTTGCAGCCTTGCTTTTCTCTGGTTTCTAATCAATGGCATATGATTAATCTTCCAAGGAGTTTGACAAGATCATTTCAAATATTTTCAAATTAATATTTTTCTCTCATTGAGGGTACTATGTAGAAGGCACTGAAAACTCTGGGGTAACAAGAATCATCAATATGAGTAACTGATCTTGGGTGGGTTAGGGGCACCAGGAATTCTGGGTAATTGGGGCTTAGCTATTTTTGTTTTTAATCAGTAAGTTTAGGGACTATCACTAGAGTAGAAAATGCTGAGTAACTGGAAAATGACATGTTGGAAACTCTGGCTCAGGAGTTAGGAAATCCCCACTGTCAGTTTCCCTAGGGTAATATACTGGGTTGAATTGGATGTAACTGAAGGGGCCAGACCTCATAGCTGTATTAGTCTGCAAGTGTGACCATGTCTAGAAGACACCAGGACAATGTAACACCGGCCAATTGAAGGAATAACATCAGTGAAGACAGTTTGTCATAATGTAGTTAAAAATCGATTATTGTTTCCCTGAGTTCTTTCTCTACTTTAATTCCTGACTCAGGGTTACCAGAGGTAAATCAGAAAACACATACTCAAAGGACACAGCAACCAAGAAGGACACACCATGAATTACTGAACAAGCACCCCCAGACAAATGTCCATATGACTTTCAAACAGTGGTCCCAACATCTGAGACTTTGCATCTTTCCAAAGGCATCAGGTTATTAGATTCTTAACTGATGTGCATGTCAGACAGGAATGAACTGATCATTTTATTCTGGTTTGTTCTTTGTTTAAATGTCATTTTTCATCTTTTATTGATACATTTTGTGGCTACTGCTACTACAGCTGCTGCTATTTCATGCCCATGGCCCATGAGCTCAGGTTGGTTGACACAAAAAAAGTCAGGCAAGGTATGAAACTTAGAAAAATTGTTGCTGGCCAGTATCTACCATTTGGAGTAATGGGACATGTGACCCAAAATTTCTCTTGAAGTGGGAAGAAGAGAAAATAGGGGTTTGAAGATTTCAGGGTATAGTTGGGAAGGGATCATTTTAAGGGACTCCATTTCTGAAGTGAAAAGAGACTCAGTTGGGAAACAAGGTTCTACTCTTATGAGATTTTTTTTCCTGACAAATATCTTAAAGGTCACATACTAATAGTATAAGAACGTTTTTAACCACACAAGTTTCAGTAAAATCAAAATCAAATGCTACTAAGGAAACCAGTCTTTTTATTTTGAACACCAGGTTAGCAAATAAGGAACAGTATACCTATGGGGCTGCATGGCTTGAAGGTCTCAATGGTACCACAAGCAGTGCCAGGGAAACCACAGACTGGGTTTTCTACCCTAAAATGTGGAAACATATGTATTTTCATCTTTTTCCTGTCTCAAAGACTAGACCAGAATGTTGGTGTTAAAAACTGATTTGCACACTGCTCACCAAAACAGTTACGTCCCAAATGGCAAAACATGAAGAGTCTTGCTCTTAGCAACATAGGGACTTCAGGCACGTCCAGAGGAAGCAGTTTCCTAATTATGCTGACAAGGAGGGCTAGACATTTGCTTTCTGCTTATTAGAGACAGTCAGTGGGAAAGCGGTAGACTTTAAAGAGATGACAGGAAATGGCTTCTCAGAAGTGAAATGAGAGGCCATTTCTACATTGATTAGATGGGAGTGGAAGGGGAGACAGGAAAGCAGGCTGGTAGAAGATTCAAAAAGAAGTAAAGGAGGGCTAAAGGTGCTTCCCTGGACTGTTGTAGGCAGGGCCCAGGGGTGTGCGACTGGGTGAGGGAGATTGCATCCCAGCTCTGAGAAAGACTTGGCCATTCCTGGGAATAAGTTGGACTTTCTGCAAAGGCTGTCTGTGAAAGGGAGATTCTAAGTTTATATCCCACTCCCTCCTCTCTCCCTACCTGTCACTCCCAGAGTTTTGGTTTGGAAGAGTAAAGAAGACAATACAAATTACTAAAAGTCTTTAGCACAGTGCCTGGCACAAAATTAGCACTCATAATGAAAACCATTATTTTATCATTATCGTTGTTCATTTTGGTGGAGTGTTTTATTCTCAGCCCAATGGTGGGAACAAAGTAGCTTCTTAATTAGCACTTGTTAATTGGATAATTAATTGGAGTAGTCACAGTGGTAATAATAGTAGTGAACATTGATTTTGGATTGACTATGTATGTACTTACTATAATAAAGATGCTGAACTCTTTATATGTAGCTCTGTAAGTGGGACATCAGTACTATTCTTTTTACAGATGAGGAAGCTGAGGCCTCAGATCACTGAGGTAATAAATGGCAGAGCCAGGGCTCAACCCCAGGCAGACACCGGGGCACCTCCCCTGAGAGAATGAGACAGTAGCCAGGAACTGGAGGATTCTGACACCTGCTGGGGGGTTCCATCTGTGTAGCAAATCTTGGGAATACATGTGAGGAAGAGGAGATGGATTTCTCTGGTGTAGCAGAGAAGTCCTTAGACCAGACAGGAGCTGTAGCAGGGAGGGTCTGCAGGGGCAGGGGCAGAGGCAAAGCCAGCTCATTGATTCTGCTGGACTGTGGCCTCCACACAACCCTCCTCACCTTTCCCTCACTCCTGAAGCCTACAGCTTCCTGGAAGTGCCCCTGAAGTGATGAGAGAAAGCATCCTGGCCAGATGTTGCAGCAACCACAGCAGTAGGAAAGTGATCAGCGTAATTCTAAGAGGAAAAATGATCATGAGTCTCAAGCTGGGCTTCATAGGTCTGGCCACAGAGAACCTCGGAGGAAGGTCAAAACTAGGTGAGAAAGAGTCTTGCATAAATTTGCAAAGTTGGAAGTTCATATCCTGTGCCCACTCCCTTCCTCTTGTGATTCTCCCTTCTCATATTCCTACCTATTCTGGACCTCAAAGCTCTTTGTCTACCCTGGACCCCTCAGTGTGATGGTTCACTTAGGCCTGGCTTTCTCTGTCCAAAAGCCTTGAGCCCAGAATGCACCCTCCTTATTCCTCCCATCACACATTTCACTTGTTCTGTGACTCTAACCTCCTGGCTGACCCAGCTGGAAGAAATTTGATAGGCTAATTTTACCTAAGGACCAAGACTGGATACAGATCTTTGAGTGACTTATCCTAGGGATGTTGATATTTTCAATAAATATTCCTGAAATGTCAATGACTTGATTCTGAAATAATCAAGTTTCCAGGGGGAGGCTTCAGGTTCTGTGGCAGTGTTGGAGGGACTTTTGGGCATCCTGTAAGTTGCAGGGGATTACTGATCAGTCTGCATATGTGAGAAAAAGCTGGGCGTTCTCTACTGGCAGCATTTTACATGAGATGCATGGTGTGTAATGCATTTTATTTCATGCTGTCTTAAGCTATTCTCTAACTGTTTCATGTGTATATTCTGTCTGTCAAACGGATGATCAGTTTTTAGGACAGGAACAATTCCTCATGCATTTCGTGTACCATGCATTTTGTGTACCACATAATCTGTAGGAAAGAAACTCAACAAACAAGTATCCATTTGTGTATTCAAGTGGGAGCAGGGGAGTGGACACTCTAGGATGATTCATTTTAGGATTAAAAAAAAACCTTAATGACAGGATTCATTTAGGGGAAAAAATCAGAAAATGCCTATAGCCCAGGCAGTCTTACTACAAAGAGGTAACCATTAGGGAACTTCTGCAGATTCAGTTTAATTAAATTCAATAAGTGCCACTATCATTCCACAACCAGATTTAGGCTTGTAAGAAAGTAAACTAGGGTGACATCACCAAGATAGCAGAGTGGGAGATATAAGCCTTCATTCCCCCACACAAAAAAACAAATATAGACAGCTATCTACAAACCAAAATACAGACCTCAAGTGCTCATCAAAGAATCTGTAGCAATGTGGTAGAGCAAAAAATATGGAGCATATCCATCCACATAGGAAGCATTGCTGGTGATACTGGCCTACATGTGACTCTGGAAGACAGCCAATAACAAAGAAAAAGGCAGAAGCTATCTGTATCAGCCACTCTGCAGAAGCCACCATGGTCACAGCAGCCTGCTCTGCACAGGACACCAATATCTCTTGCTACTGAGGCAACCAACAGCCATTTCTCCTGGTTAGCTCTGGAGAAGGAGACATGGCTTTATACCCTCTCCTTCACCCATCAAGAAGCAGTTGCCATGAAGCTGCTTTGGAAAAGGAGCAGCCACATCTTTCAACTTTGTGTGGGCCCTGACCCCCAAGCTGTGGCTCCCCTGAGATTGCCTTCACTCCACACCCAAGCTCTGTGACTGCTTTGTGCCTGCCCACATATCCGATACTGGAGGCATCACCACAGTGAATTAATTTTCACTTTGGGCCCTGGAGCAAAGTTCTTCCTACCTATGCCCATGCTCTTGGTGCTGGCTCAGCCACTGTAGAGAGCTAGGCTCTATACTGGAGCCACTTTAACTCTGCACACACCTGTCCTCCCATTCTCAGCCTCCCAGCTGCTTTACAAGCTATGTACTTTACATAGTATTACCACCACAGCAGTGAGATGCCTGTGCTCCAAGCACCAATGCCTTTACTTCTGTGGATCCTGGAGCTGTTATTCTTCCATATGTGCCTGTGCTTCAGGCCTCAGCTCCATGGATGATCCACTTATCAGTCATTGGTAGCATGACCACTGTGAGAGGGTACACAAGCCAGACCCAGAGCCAAGAGGGATGCCTCAGCCACAACATCCCCAGTGGGAGAAAAAGACCAGGAGGTTCTTAGCGGCCATTGCCACTGAGGACCCCACTGCAGACATCCAGAGCATTGGCTGCTGAGGATTCCTGCAATTTTTGTCAACACCAACCTCAGCTGACAAAGCTGCACAGAGACTACACAGCTTCCCCTTCACTTGTGCCAGAATTACTGTGCTCCACCCAGCAAGTGCCCTCAGACCATCCCCCTACCATTGGAGACGGTCTACCTGCAGCAAAACTATCATGTAAAGTCTGAAAGAGGTGTCCACTTGACCAAATGTGTAGACATCACTATGAGACAAAAAACATAAAAAACCAAGAAAACATAACACTACCAAAAGAACACAATAACCTTCCTGTAGCTGACCCCAAAGAAATTAAAATATGCAAACTGCATTACAAAGAATTCAGAATGACTGAATAAAGGAAGTTGAGTGAACTTCAAGAAAAAAGAGAAAAATAATTCAATGAAATTAGGAAAAGAATAAATGACCAAAATTATAAATGTAAGAGAGAGATTGAAACTACAAGAAAAAAAATCAAACAAATTCTGGAGCTGAAAATTATAGTGAATGAAATTTAAAAATGCAGCAAAGAGTGTCAACAACAGAATTAATCAAGGAGAGCAAGATGGTGGAATAGAAACCTCCACAGATTGTCCCCTCTGCAAGGACACCAATTTAACAACTATCTATATAAAAAATCACTTTCATAAACACCAAAACTTAGGTGAGTACTCACAATACCTGGTTTTAACTTTATATCACTGAAAGAGGCATTGAGATGGTAGGAAAAGCAGTCTTGAATCACCAATGCCACTCCTGCCCAATCCCCAAGCAGGGGTGGCATGGTGCAGAGAGGCTTTCAGTGCACTGGAGAGAGGAAGATCACAGCATTTATCAGGCATTGAACACAGTGCTGCCCTATTATAACAGAAAACAAAACTGGACCAAATTCAGCTGACACCCACCCACAGAGGGAGCATTCAAAGCAGCTCTAGCCAGAGGGAAATCACAGATCCCAGTGGTCTAAACTTGAGCTTCTGCAATCCTCGCTAATGGGCTAAAGTGCTCTGGGGCTCTAAATAAGCTTGAAAGGCAGTCTAGGCCACAAGGACTGCAACTCCTAGACAAGTTCTAGTGCCAAATTGGGTCCAGAGACGGTGGCTGGGTGGCGGGCACACAACCTACTGAGACACCAGCCAGGGTAGCTAAGGGAATGTTAGCTTCACCTCTCCCCTAACACCAGGCTGCACAGCTCATGGCATCAAAAGTGACCTTTTCCCTTCACTTGAGGAGAGGAGAGGGAAGAGTGGGGAGGACTTTTGCTTTCATCTTGGATACCAGCTCAGCCACAGCAGAATAGGGCACCAGTCTGAGTCATGAGGCTCCCTTTCTAGGCCCTAGCTCCAAGATGGCATTTCTGGATACACCCCAGGCCAGAAGAGAATCTGCAGCCTTGAAAAGAAGAACCCAGCCCTGGCAGGATTTACCATCTGCTAACTGAAGAGCCCTTGGGCTCTGAATAACCAGCAGAGATATCCAGGTACTATATCAAAGGCCTTAGGTGAACCTCTGAGACTTGTTGGCCTCAGGCAAGACTCAGCACATTCCCAGATACAATGGCTATGGGGCAAGACTCCTTCCACTTGAGAAAAGTGGAGGGAAAACAAAGGGGATTTTGTTTCACACCTTAGGTATCAGCTCAGCCACAGGGGTTAGAGCACCAAGCAGACCCTTTAGGTCCCCCATTCCAAGACTTGGCTCTTGGACTGCATTTCTTGACCTGCCCTGGGCCAGTGGGGAGCCCACTTCCCTGAAGGATAAGTCCCAGGCCAAGCAGCATTTACCACAAGCTGACCAGAGAAACCTTGGGCCAGAAAGGAACATCAGTGATAGCCTGGCAGTATTCCCTTGGGTCTGTGGTGGTGGTCATGAGGTGAGGCTTCTCTGGCTTTAGAAAGAGGAGGGAAGAGTGGGAAGGACTACATCTTATGATTTAAGAGCCATCTCAGCCACAGTGCAAGAGAATACCAGGTAGACGTCTCAGGTTTTTACTCTAGCTCCTGGTTCCTGGACAGCACGTCTGGACATGCCCAGGGACTGGGGAGCTTGCCACCCTGAAGGGAAGGACACAGGCCTAGCTGGCTTTGCTACCTGCTAATTGTAGAGCCCCAGGGACTTGAGCAAGTATAGGCTGTAGCCAGGAAGTGGTTACAGCAGGCCTTGGGTGAGACCCAGTGCTGTGCTGGCTTCAGGTCTGACCCAGTGCAGTTCCAGTTGTGGCAGCCATAAGGGTGTTTGTGTCGCACCATCCCCAGTACGAGGCGGCTCAGAACAGAGAGACTTCATTCATTTGGGAGAAAGTAAAGGAAGAGAACAAGAATCTCTGCATGGTGATCCAGATAATTATTCTGAATCTTGTCCAAGACTACCAAGGTGGTGCCTATATGAGTCTGCAAGATGCACAATGTTACTGGTCTTGGGGTGCCCCCTAAAGTGGATACAGTTTAGATCACAACACCCAAGTCCTTCTGAATATCTGGAAAGCCTTCCCAATAAGGTCAGGTACAAATAATCCCAGACTGAGACAACCACAATAAATACCTAACTCTTCAATGCCCAGACACCAAAGAATGTCAACAGGCATCAACACCATCCAGGAAAACATAACCTCATCAAATGAACTAAATAAGGCACCAGAGACCAATCCTGGAGAAACAGCTATGTGACCTTTCAGACAGAGAATTCAAAATAGCTGTGTTGAGAAAACTCAAAGAAATTCAAGATAACACAGAGAAGGAATTCACAATTCTTTCAGGTAAATTTAACAAAGAGACTGAAATAATTAAAAAGAATCCAGCAGAAATTCTAGAGCTGAAAAACACAACTGGCCTACTGAAGAATGCTTTAGAGTCCTTTAATATTAGAATTTATCAAGCAGAAGAAAGAATTAGTGAGCTTGAAGACAGGCTATTTGAAAATACACAGTCAAAGGAAAGAAAAAAAACAGTGAAGCACACCTATAAAACTGGGAAAATAGCCTCAAAAAGGCAAATCAAGAGTTATTGGCTTTAAAGAGGAAGTAGAGAAAGAGGTAGGGGTAGAAAGCTTATTCAAAGGGATAATAACAGAGAACTTCTCAAACCCAGAGAAAGATATTGATATCCAAGTACAAGAATATTCTCAAACACTAAGCAGATTTAACCCAAAGAAGACCACCTTGAAGCATTTAGTAATTAAACTCCTAAAGGTAAAGAATAGAGAAAGGATTCTAAAAGAAAAGCAAGAGAAAAGAAACAAATAACATACAATGGAGCTCCACTACATCTGGCAACACACTTTTCAGTGGAAACCTTATAGGTCAGGAAAGGGTGGCATGACATATTTAAAGTGCTGAAGAAAAAACCTTTTACCCTGGAATAGCGTATCTGGTGAAAATACCCTTCAAATGTAAAGGAGAAACAAAGACTTTCTTAGACTAACAAAAGCTGAGAGATTTCAACAACACCAGACCTGTCCTACAAGAAATGCTAAAGGGAGCACTTCAGTCACAAAGAAAAGGACATTAGTGAGCAAAATAAAATCATCTGAAGGTACAAAACTCACTGGTAATAGTAAGTACCTCAAAACACAGAACATTATAACACCATAACTGTGATATGTAAACTACTCTTATCTTAAGTAGAAAGACTGAGCAATGGACCAATAAAAAACAATAACTATAACAACTTTTCAAGACATAGAGAGTCCAATAAGATATAACCAGAGACAAGAAAAAGTTAAAAAGCAGAGGAATAAAGTTAGGGCATAGAGTCTTCATTAGTTTTCTTTTTGCTTGTTTATGCAAACAGTGCTAAGTTGTTACCAGGTTAAAATGATGGGTTGTAAGAAACTATTTGCAAGTTTCATGGTAACTTCAAACCAAAAAATATACAAAAGATACAGAAAAAATAAAAAACAGGAAATGAAATAAATTCATCAAAGAAAATCATCTTCACTAAAAGGAAGACAGGAAGAAAAGAAAGAAGGAAGAGAAGACCACAAAACACCCAGAAAACAAATAGCAAGATGGCAGAATAAGTCCTTACTTATCAATAATAACATTAAATGTAAATGGGCTAAACTCTCCAATCAAAGAACACAGAGTGGCTGAATAGATTAAAAACAAAACAAAACAAGACTCAGTGTTCTGTTGCCTACAAGAAACACATTTCACCTCTAAAAACACATATAGGCGGGGCATGGTGGCACATGCCTGTAATCTCAGCACTTTGGGAGACTGAGGCAGGCAGATCACCTGAGGTTGGGAGTTCGAGACCAGCCTGACCAATATGGAGAAACCCCGTCTGTATTAAAAATACAAAATTAGCTGGGTGTGGTGGCACAAGCCTGTAATCCCAGCTACTCAGGAGGCTAAGGCAGGAGAATCACTTGAACCCAGGAGGCGGAGGTTGTGGTGAGGCGAGATCACACCATTGCACTCCAGCCTGGGCAACAAGAGCGAAACTCTGTCTCAAAAACAACAAAAACAAAAACACAACAAACAAACAAACAAAAAAACAGACACATACAGACTGAAAATAAAAAGATGGGAAAAGATTCTCTGTGCCGATGGAAACCAAAAAAGAGCAGGAGTAGCTATAGTTACATCAGACAAAATAAATTTCAAGGCAAAAACCATGAGAAGAGACAAAGAAGGTCACTATATAATGATAAAGGAATCAATTCAGCAAGAGGATATAACAATTTAAATATATACACATCCAACACTGAGCACCTGGATATATAAAGCAAATATTATTAGAGCTAAAGAGTGTGATAGGCCCCAATACAATAATAGCTGGAGACTTCAATGCCCCACTTTCAGCATTATACACATCTTCTAGACAGAAAATCAACAAAGAAATGTTGGACTTAACCTGCACTATAGACCAAATGGGTCTAAAAGACATTTACAGAACTTCTCATCCAACGACTGCAGAATAAACATTCTTTTCCTCAGCACATGGATCATTCTCAAGAATAGACCATATGTTAGGTCACAAAGCAAGTCTTAAAACATTCAAAAAATTGCAATAGTATTAAGTATCTTCTCTGACAATAATAGAATGAAACTAGAAGTCAATAACAGAGGGATTTTGAAAACTATACAAATACATGGAATTAAGCAATATGCTCCTGAATGACCAGTGAAGAAATTAAGAAGGAAATTGAAACATTTCTTGATACAAATGATAATGAAAATACAACATACCAAAACCCATTGGACACAGTAAAAGCAGTACTAAGAGGGAAGTTTATAGCTATAAGTGTCTGTATCAACAAAGAAGAAAAGCTTCAGATAAATAGCCTAACTATGCATCTTAAAGAATGAGAAAAGCCAGAACAAATTATACCCAAAATTAGTAAAAGAAAAGAAACAATAAGATCAGAGCAGAAATAAATGAAATTGAAATGAAGAAAGCAATACAAAAGATCAATGAAACAAAGAATTTCATTGAAACTGTTTTAAAAGTTTTTTGAAAAGTTAAACAAAATTGACAAATCTTTAGCCAGGCTAACTTAGAAAAAAAGAGAAAAGATCCAAAGAAATAAAATCAGAGATTAAAAAAAGACATTACAAATGATGCCGCAGAAATTCAAAGGATCACCAGTGGCTACTATGAGCAATTATATGGCAATAAATTGGAAAATCTCGAAAAAATGAACAAATTCTTAGACACATGCAACCTACCATGATTGAACCATGAAGAAATCCAAAACCTGAATGAGTGATGAGATCAAAGCTGTAATAAAAAGTCTCCCACTAAAGAAAAGCCATGACCTGATGTCTTCACTGCTGATTTGTATCAAGCATTTAAAGAAGAACTAATAACAATCCTATTCAAAATATTCCAAAAAGTAGAGGAGGAGGGAATACTTCCAAAGTCATTCTACCAGGCCAGTATTATCCTGATACCAAAACCAGACGAAGAAACATCAAAAAAAAGAAAACCATAGGCCAATATCTCCAATGAATATTGATCAAAAAATCCTCAACAAAATACCAGCAAACTGGCTGGGCAATGCCAGCTATTTGGGAGGCTGAGGTGGGTGGATCACTTGAGTCAGGAGTTCGAGACCAGCCGGGCCAACATGGCAAAATGCTGTCTCTACTAAAAATACAAAAAGTAGCCAGGTGTTGTGGTGCATGCCTGTAGTTCCAGTTACTTTGGAGGCTGAGGCAGGAGAATTGCTTGAACCCAGGAGGCAGAGGTTGCAGTGAGCCAAGATCGCACCACTGCACTGCAGCCTGAGCAACAGAGTGAGACTCTGTCTCAAAAAACAAAAACAAAAACAAAAAAAACTAGCAAACTGAAATTAGCAATATGTTAAAAAGATGATTCATGACAAAGTGAGATTTATCCCTAAGATGCAAGGATGGTTCAATATACATACACAAATCAATCAGTGTGAGGTATCATATAAACAGAATAAAGGACAAAACCTATGTAATCATTTCAATTGATGCTGAAATAGCATTTGATAAATTTCACATTGCTTTATGATAAAAACCCTCAAAAAACTGGCAATAGAAGGAACATACCACAACATAATAAAAGTCATATGTGACAGACTCATAGCTAGTATACTGAATGGGAAATACTGAAAGCCTTTCCTCTAAGATCTGGAACATGACAAGGATGCCCACCACCATCCCTGTTATTTAACATAGTACTAGAAATTCTAGCTAGAGAACTTAGACAAGAAAAATAAATAAAGGGCATCCAAATTGGTAACAAAGAAGTCAAATTATCCTTGTTTGCAGATAGTATGATCTTCTATTTGAAAAACCTAAGGACATCACAGAAAAGCTGTTAGAACTGATAAACAAACTCAGTAAAGTTACAGGATACAAAACCAAAATATAAAAATCAGCAGCATTTCTATATATCAAGAGTGAACAATCTAAAAAAGAAATAAAAAAGTAATACCATTTACAATAGCCATAAATAAAATTAAATATCTAGAAATTAACTTGACCAAAGAAGTGAAGGATCTCTATAATGAAAACTATAAAACACTGATGGAAGAAATGGAAGAGGCCACCAAAAAATGGAAAGATATTCCATGTTCATGGATTGGAAGAATTGATATTATTAAAATGTCCATACTATCCAAAGCAATCCACAGACTCAGTGCAATCCCTATCAAAATACCAAAGACATTCTTCACAAAAATAGAAAAAAAAATCCTAAAATTGATATGGAACCACAAGAGCCAAAACTTTCTTAATCCAAAAGAACAAACTAGAGGAATCATGTTGCCTGATTTCAAATTATACTATAGAGGTTTAGTGATCAGAACAGCAGTACTGGCATAAAAGCAGACACATAGGCCAATGGAACAGAATAGATAACCCAGAAAGAAATCCACCACCTACCATAAACTAATTTTTGATAATGGTGCCAGGAACATACACTGGAGAAAAGACAGTGTCTTCAATAAGTGGTGCTGGGAAAACTGGATAACCATATGCACAAGAATAAAACTAGACTCCTAGTTGTCACTGTATGCAAAAATCAAATCAAAATGGATTAAAGACTTAAATATAAGACCTGAAATTATGAAACAACTACAAGAAAACATTGGGGAAACTCCAGGACATTGTTCTGGACAAAAATTTCTTGAATAATATCTAATAAGCACAGGCAATGAAAGTAAAAATGAACAAACAGAATCACAACAAGTTAAAAAGCTTCTGCACAGCAAAGGAAACAATCAACAAAGTGAAGAGACAACCCACAGAATGGGAGTAACTATTTGCAAACTACCCATCTGACAAGGGATTAATAACCAGAATACATAAGGAACTCAAACAAATCTATAGGAAAAAATCTAATTATCTGATTAAAAAAGGGGCAAAAGATTCGAATAGCTATACAAATGGCAAACAGGCACATGAAAAGGTGCTCAACATCACTGATCATCAGAGAAATGCAAATCAAAACTACAATAAGATATCATCTCACTCCAGTTAAAATGGCTTATATCCAAAAGACAGGCAATAACAACGCTGGCGAGGATGTGGAGAAAAGGGAACCCTGTACACTGTTGGTGGGAATGTAAATTAGCACAACTACCTTGGAGAACAGTTTGGAGATTCCTCAGAAAACTAAAAATCAAGCTACCTACCATATGATCCAGCCATCCCACTGCTAGGTATATACCCCAAATAAAGGAAATCAGTATATCAAAGACATATCTGCACTTCTATGTTTGTTGCAGCACTGTTCAGAATCTAAGACTTGGAAGCAACCTAAGTGTCCATCAACAGATGAATGGATAAAAAAAATGTGGTACTTATACACAATGGAGTACTATTCAGCCATAAAAGGTATGAGATCCTGTCATTTGCAAATGACATGGGTGGAAATGGAGGTCATTATGCTAAGTGAAATAAGTCAGGCACAGAAAGATAAACATTGGATGTGCTCACTTATTTGTGGAATCTAAAAATCAAAACAATTGAACCCATGGAGATAGAAAGTAGGAGGATAGTTGCCAGAGGCTGGGAAGGGTAGTAGGGGATTTGGGATAGGGGAGTGGGGATGGTTAATGGGTACAAAAAATAGAAAGAATATGTGATAGCACAGCAGCGTGACTATAGTGAGAAATAATGTAATTGTACGTTTAAAAGTAACTAAAAAGTATAATTAGATTGTAATACGAGGATAAATGCCTGAAAGGATGGACGCCTCATTTTCCATGAAATGATTATTGTGCATTGCATGCCTATACCAAAACATCTCATGTACCACATAAATATATACACCTACTATATACCCTCACAAATTAAGATGAAAAAATTTAAAAAAAGTCTTAAGCAGAAGAAAAATTGTGAAGTTGAAGACAGGTTATTTGAAAATATACCATCAGAGGAGAAAAAGAATACAGAATAACAAGGAAAGAAGAAAGCATATGAGATTTATGGGAAAGCATCAAAATGGCAAATATTCAAGTTGCAGAAGTTCAAGAAGGAGAATAGAAAGACAAAAAAGCAGAAAACTTATTTAAAGAATACTAGCAGAAAATGTCCAAATCAAGGGAAAGAGATAAATATCCAACTACAGGAAAGTCAAAGTTTTCTGATCAGATTCAATCTAAACTAGACTACCCCAAGACAGGTAATCAAACTGTCAAAAATCAAAAGACAAAGAAGGCCAGGTGCAGTGGCTCATGCCTGTAATCCCAGCACTTTGGGATGCCAAGGCAGGCAAATCACTTGAGCCTAGGAGTTTGAGACCAACCTGGGCAACATGGCAAGACCCTGTCTCTACAAAAAATGAAAATATAAAAATACGAAAATTAGCCAGGTGTGGTGATATGCACCTGTAGTCCCAGCTACTCAGGGGGTTGAGATGGCAGGGTCACTTGAGCCTGGGAGGTTGAGGCTGTGGTGAGCCAAGATCGTGCCCCTGCACTCCAGCCTGGATGACAGAGCTAAACCCTGTCTCAAAAAACAAAACAAATAAACAAAAAAGAAACAAAAGGAAAAATAAACACAAAACCCGAGAAACTAACAAACAACCCCCTCCCCCGCAAAAAAAAAAAAAAACCCACAAAAAATCAAAGACAAAGAGAGGATCCTGAAAGCAGCTAGAGAAATGAAGAAAATAACATATAAGGAAGTTTCAATAAGGCTAGAAGCAGATTTCTCAGCAGAACCTTACAGGCCAGGAGAAAGTTGGATGATGTATTCAATGTGCTGCAGGGGGGAAAAAAAAACCTGTCAATTAAGAATATATTGCCTGGTAAAGCTGTCCTTTAGAAATGAAGGAGAAAGAAAGACTTTCCCAGACTTAACGTCAGCTGAGGAATTTGATCACCACCAGGCCTGTCTTATAAGAAATGCTACAGGGAGTTCTTCAAGCTGAAATAGAAGAATATTAATTATTAACATGAAAATTTATCAAAGTATAAAACTCACTGGTAAAATAAAGATGCAGTGAAATTCAGAATACTCAATAATCTAATGGTGGTTGAGATTAGATCACTTATATTCATACTATGAATATAAGTGATAGATCACTTATATTCATACTATGAAGATGAGATGAAACTACTAAAAATAATAATAGCTACAATACTTTGTTAAGGGATACGCAATAAAAAAAGATGTAAATTGTGACATAAAAAACAAAACATGTGGGGCATGGTGGAGCAATAGTGTTAAGTTTTTTAATGTGGTCAAAGTTAAGTTGTTAGCTTAAAATAACCTTTTATAACTATAAGATATTTTATGTTAGCCTCAGGGTAACCACAAAGCAAAAATGTATAGTAGATAAACAAAAGATAAAACTTTAAGGAATGAAAGCATACTAGAAAGAATTATCTAATCAGAAAGGAAGACAGCCAGTGAGAAAGAAAGAAACAAAGAATCTACAAAGCAATCAGAAAACAATTAACAAAATGACAGGAGTAAGTCCTTACCTATCAATAATTACCTTGAATATAAATGGATTAAATTCTCTAACCAAAGACACACACAGAATGGCTGAATGGGTGAAAAAATAATAATATGCTGCCTTCAAGAGACTCACTTCACCTTAAAGGACAAACATATGTTGAAAATGAAAGGATGAACAAAAATATTCCAGGCAAATGGAAACCAAAAAAGAGCAGGGAGAGCTATGGTTATGTCAAAAAAAAAATAGACTTTAAGTCAAAAACTGTGAAATGTGACAAAGAACTTCATTATCTAATGATAAAGGGATTAATTCATCAAGAAGATATAATAATTGTAAATATATTTGTGCCTAATGTCAGAGCTCCTAGATATATAAAGCCAATATTAATAGACCTGAAGAAAGAGATTGACTGCAAGACAATAATAGTAGGGGATTTCAACAATGAACAGATTATCTTGACAGAATATCTATAAGGAAACATTGGATATACCAAATGGAACTAACAGACATATACATGACATTTTATCCAACAGCAGCAGAATACACATTTGCTTCAACATTCCCCAGGATAGATCATATGTTAGACCACAGAACAAGTCTTAACGAATTTAAGAAGATTGAAATCTTATCAAGTATCTTTTCCAACAACAATGGTATGAAACTAAAAATCAATAATAGGAGGAATTTTGGAAAATTTACAAATATGTGGAAATTAAACAACATGTTTCTAAATAACCAATGGATCAACAAATAAATTAAAAGAGACATTTTTTAAAAATCTGGAGACAAATAAAAATGGAAGCACAACATACCAAAACTTATGGGATGCAGCAAAAACAGTTCCAAGAGGGAAGTTTAAAGCAATAAACATCTACATTAAAAAAGAAGAAAGATCCCAAATAAACAGCCTAATGTTACACTGCAAGGAACTAGAAATAGATGAATAAACTAAACCTAAAGAAAAATGTGGTTTTTATTCCTCGTCATATGAAGCTAATCTCTCTTAACTTTCATTTTCTTAGCTTCTAAGTGGGAATAATGAAATGTTTCTTGTAGGATTATTTTGAAATTTATTGATAATAGATAGGATGTATGTGACCCAATGGCAGCCCTTGCTCACTCTGCACTAACCGTGCATGACTATTTTTCATTTTTTCAACGGGCAGAACTTATTTTTAGCTTGTGGTCAACTAAGATCTTCTGAGTTTTTTTTTTTTTTTAAACCTAGGCAAACTGAGGTCTTTCTATCCTAAATATATGTAATTGATTTTTTTTTAGAAACTTAATGCAGGTCTTTAACATTTATCCCTTTAAAACAGCTGACTTAGGGCCTTACCACAAACAGCTCTCCTGGTATGGAATGTTCTTCCTCCTGACCTTCCCATGGCTGTCTCTCTCTCTTTTTTTAATCATTCAGGTCTCAGTTTACATGGCATCCTTTCAGCAAGACCTTGCCTGATGATTCAATCCAATGCTGCATCCAAGTCACTCTCTGTTATACTCTGCTTCTGTTCTCATTTCTTTAGTTGCTTATCATCCATTACCCACCCCACCTCAGCCTGGCCAGCCTGCACTTATAAGAACACCTAGCACAAAATGAAAAGTCAATGAATATTTGTTGGAAGAATAAATAATAGTCATTCTTCTTTTGTTATTGAGAAAAAGTTCTTAATATTGGTTCATTCCTACAAGATGCCTTAACATCAAGGAAAAGAAGTTATTTTCACTTCCTATCAGCATTAGCCTCACATTCTTTAAAAATAGTTTTTTATTAAAGTTTTTTTTTATAGTAGCATATAGAAAGTTGAACTTTTTCAGAAGAATCATTGGATGATGTGCTTTGAGGCAGGCAGCCTAACAGATAATCTTTCTACACCCCCAGGGACAAGAACCAGGGGTTCTTCCTGCTCTTAGATAAACTATAGTGTGAGGTGAGCTATTGGGAAGAAGAAGTGAATAGAAAATAAGCAAAGGAGGCCAAATTTTTGTCACTGATTCAGTATAGCAGCTAAGGGATAGGGAGAATTGAAGAAGTCCTGAAGTTCTGGCTTAGGCCACTGGATGGATAGTGGTGTTATTTGGCAATATAAAAGCACTGTATAAAAGCAGGCAGAAGAGGAGAAGCAAGATCAGGAGAAGTGAGAAGATCCAAGCACAGTTGGGGAGAATAGGTTTGGTGCTCAGGGATGGGTCCAGACTAGACTGAAAGATCTGGGGCTTCTTCTGCAGGTGGCAGTTGAAGTTATGGGAGCAGTTAAGATCACTAAGTAGTGTCGGAGAGTGAGCAAAGAGGGGTAAGGACTGGATCTTCAGTCACAGTAACATGGAGAGTCAGGAAGATAAGAGGGGACTGGAAAGGGCTAGCCAGGGGTTTAGGGGAACCAAGAGAGTGGCATCAGAGAAGCCAAAGGAAGAGTGTATAGTCAACGATGTCAGATGCTGAAAGATGGCAAGTTCTTAGACCAGAAATGAGTCCACTGATTTGCCAATCTGTGGTCCTTGGTGACCTTTGGCAGTCACAGTTTCAGAGTTGGTGGTGGTGATGGGTGGGGGCAGAACTTAGAAAGCAGTGGGCTGAGTAAAGAAATGAAAGAAGAGAGATCTCATCTGTCTATGTTCTTTAAGATGTGGTAGTCTGTTGCACTACAGTGGAACTGCTAGGAAAGTGCTGCTTTTAGCAATCATATTATATATGCTGGTGGCTCAGTTTCAGCTTGTGGTCATCTAAGATCTTCTGACTTTTTTTTAAACCTTGGCAAGCCAGGGTCTTTCTATCTGAAATGTACATAATCGATTATTTTTAAAACCTTTAATGCAGGCCTTTAACATTTATCTCTTTCAAATAGTACCTTATTAGTGTAAGCCAAATTTTCCAAACATATTCTAAAGCTAATTTCATCATTGTTTGCTTTATAGTCCTGCCTAGGACCTTACTTTTTAAGATGCCTGGTTCTCTTCCTTAGAAACTAGGGATGGCGGTGTTCCTGTTACTATAATTTGTGCATGGAAAACTAGATTGAGCTCAATTTCATTCCTGGGAAACAACAACTTTCTTAGCTAAAATATAAACCCTAACTGGAAAGCAACTGACCAGAGGTTAAGAATTGCATTTTGAAATAGTAATTGACCACAAATCAAAAGACATGTACTATTTAATGTGCTTGATTGATTTCAAGCTTCCAAATCCTCAAAGCTAAAAACTGTCATCATAATGTACTTAGTTAATGGGTGACTGTATTTTTAGAAAAGCTTTTGACAAAAGGCTAGAAAAAGACTTAAATGCATAAACCAGGGTATTTTCTTGCCTGAGTATTCCATTAATTGAGATTTTATACTTAACACCTTTTTTTTAAGTTTTACAAAGGACCATGAAATTGTGATCCCTGTGAGGTAGATGGGCTATTTTTATTTCACTTCTAAGAAGATCAAGGTATAAGGTACCTATTTCCTCGGATGTTATGAACCCAAAGAATATAATGATGACATTTTGATTTTCCACCCAGGCCTTTTGCCATGACTTTCCCAGCACTCACGTCAGATATCTTCATTCACAATTTAAAAAGAAGAGTTATGTCTCAAGGAGAAAAATCTAGGTAGGAACAGATAGAAACAGTTTTACATAGAGCTCAGCTAATTGTGTGAAGTTGGTGGTCATGAAACTGTGGGACTCTGAATGTTGGTTACACCAAGGCGCAATGTGGGCAGAAGATGCTTCCTCCAGGCAGCTTGGGCAAACTGTTTAGTGCAACACCCTTGCTGTGTAGGCTTATTTTTAGCAGAAACAGGGACCTTGAACTCATCAGCTCATTTTGAGTTCAATATGAAATCTGAACCTAGACCCGAGAAGATGCCTACCTGTGTCCCCACCCGCCCCCTTGGTGTGCTGCCAGAAAATGTTTACTCAGAGCAGCAGCTGAAGTCTGTTTGGGAACCTGCAGCCTGTGTACATCCGACTAGTGACCAAGATGCTTGGGTGTGTGCTGACTCATTTAAGAACAACTGATTTAGAGAGCTGCTGGGGTGTGGGTGTTAGTGTGCTGTGGTTCATTTTCCAGCATGCTACCAGAAAAGCACTGGATGGAAGTGGCAAATGACAAAGTCAAAACACAGTTACTGTACTGTTCAGAATATAGACAGCAATTTCCTTTCTAAATCTGTCTTTTAGGATGCCCTAGTCATTAGCATCTGGATTTGGCAATATTTTAGAAATATTTAAATATAGCTATGTTTAATGAGCACTTACCACATGCTAGGCATTTTTCTAAATGTTTTACAGGCGTTAAATCATTTAGTTCTCATAGCCACACTCTGAGTTATCTGTTCTCATCTGTCATCATGGCCATCTTGCAGTTGGGGACAGCTGAGGCTTGGGGATATGTAATTAGCTTAAAGATACCAGAGTATCTGTGGCAGAGCATGATATAAATCTAGGTCTGACTCAATGTCAGACTCAATATGACTCAAGTCTATATTGTTAACCTGTTAAATGTTACTGAGGTTTTGGTGCTATTTAAATAGAAATAAATGGGTTGTGCTTAATGTTCAGTAAATACAATTTCTATACCACTTTCTGATTTTTTTTGTATATGGATATATATGAAATAGAAGTCAAGCGTTTGTCCATTTAATCTGAAAATGTGCACTCAATTGTGATTAGGTGTAGGAAGATGGTGCGACGATCTTTTTACACGTGATGGATTCTTAAGTCTTTTTAATTCTTTCAGGTGGCTGATCTCTGTTCAGGGATATGTCAAACAACCCTTCTTTCTCCAGCAGGCAAGAGGCAGGTCTGGGTGGGACACTCTGGGCTGGGCTGGGCCTAGCTTCTGGAAACACCCAGGGATCCCTTAAGTCATAGCCTAAGTCAGGGTCCTGGGGCCATTGAGAACTCTTCATGGTTAAGAAGGGGGGATACCTGAGGGTAAGTTAATTACTCCAATGGCATAAATCAGTGTTTCAGACATACATTTAATCATCTGTAACAACTTTTGTTGACCCTATCTTAAGGTCATTTGAATCTTTTTCCAGAAGCCTATTGCTCTTGGCAATCTGAGGGATGGGGCAGTTAGAGACAGAGGGCTTTGACCCATATGTCTCAGGCCTCATCAGCATGACTACAGAATAGAGACATTTATTTATTTATTTTGTAATTGCCTAAATTACGAAATTGTGTACTCCCCTCCTTTTCTTGCCCAAATGCTAAAAACTGGAACCCCCTACCTCAACTGCTCTCTCAGTATTCTGAGAGCTCTCAGTGTCAGGTTTCACTGTTCCTCCCTCCTCCACTCCCCAGGTCTCTGTCTTCCTCTGCGCTGTCATGACCTTCGGGGCTGGGCTGCTGTGATCATCCCTGCCACCTTCCAGAGACCACTCTCATACCCTCTGCTTGATCTCAGAAAATAGACCTCTGCCCTCCTGTTTTCCAGCTTGTCTGAACTGTATGTAGCACAGGCCCTTCCATAATTCCCCGTAATACAACTGAGGCCAACCACGTAAGTATAGGCATACTTTGTTTTATTGCGCTTCGCTTTCCTGTGTTTTGCAGATATTGTGGTTTTTACTAATTGAAGGTTTGTGGTAACCCCTTATATCCACCTGGTCTATTGGCTCTGTTTTTCCAACAGCATATGCTCACTTTGTATCTCTGTGCCACATTTTGATAATTCTCATAATGTTTCAAACCTTTTCATTATTATTATATGTGTTGTGGTGATCTGTGATCAGTGATCTTTGATGTCACTATTGTAATTGTTTTGGGGCGCCGAGATCTGTGCCCCTGTAAGACAGAGATCTTAATCGATAAATGTTGTGTGTGTTCTAACTGCTCCACCAACCAGGTGTTCCCTGTTTTTCTCCCTCTTCTTGAGCCTCCCTATTCTCTGGGACACAACAATATTGAAAGCAGGACAATTAATCACCCTACAATGTCCCGTAAGTGTTCAAGTGAAAGGAAGAGTCACATGTTTTCTCACTTTAAATCAAAAGCTAGAAATGATTAAGCTTAGTGAGAAAGGCATGTCCAAAGCCGAGATGGTCTGAAAGCCAGTCCTCTTGCACCAAACAGTTAGCCAAGTGGTGAATGCAAAGGAAAAGTTCTTGAAGGAAATTAAAAGTGTGACATCAATGAACACATTAGTGACAAGAAAGTAAAACTATCTTATTGCTGCTATGAAGAAAGTTTCAGTAGCCTGGATAGAAGACCAAACCAGCCACAACATTCTCTTAAGCTAAAGCCTAAACCAGAGCAAAATCCTAAATCTCTTCAATTCTGTGAAGGCTAAGAGAGGTGAAGAAGCTACAGAAGAAATGTTTGAAGGAAGCAGAAGTCGGTTCATGAAATTTAAGGAAAGAAGCTGTCTCTATAACACAAATGTGCAAGGTGAAGCTGCATGTACTGATGGAGAGGTTGCAGCAAGTTATGCAAAAGATGTAGCTAAGTTCAATGTTGAAGGTGGCTACACTAAACAATGGATTTTAAATGCAGATGAAATAGCCTTATATTGGAAGAATATGCCATCTAGGAGTTTCATAGCCAGAGAGGAGAAGTCAAGTCCTGGTTTCAAAGCTTTAAAGGACAGATTGACTCTCTTGTTAGGGGGGCTAATGTGGCTGTGACTTTAAGTGGAAACCCATGCTTATATATCCTTCCCAAAATCTTAAAGTCCTTAAGAATTTAACATCAGTTAAATCTACTCTGCCTGTGCTCTGTTAATGGAACAACAAAGCCTGGATAACAGCACATCTGTTTACAGCATGGTTTACTGAATATTTTAAGCCAACTGTGGAGACCTACAGCTCAGAAAAAAATATTTCTTTCAAAATGTCACTTCTCATTGACAATGCACCTAGTCACCCAAGAGCTCATGCCTTCTGTGTTAGGCTTTATTCTGCAGCCCATGGATCAAGGAGTAATTTCAACTTTCAGGTTGTATTATTTAAGAAATAAATTTTAAAAGCCTATAGCTGCCATAGATAGTGATTCCATGAATAGATCTGGGAAAAGTGAACTGAGAATCACCCGGAAAAAATTCACAATTCTGGCTGCTATTAAGAACTTTCATGATTCATGAGAGGAGTTTAAAATATAAACATTAATAGGAGTTTGGAAGAAGTTAATTCCAACCCTCGTGGATGACTTTAAGGGATTCAAGACTTTAGTGGAGAAAGTAACTGCACATGTGGTGGAAATAGCAAAAGAAGCAGAAGTGGAGCCTGAAGCTGCAAGTGAATTGCTGCAACCTCCTGATAAAATTTGAGTATGTGAGGAGTTGCTTCTTAGAGATGAACAGAGAAGGTGATTTCTTGAGATGAAATCTACTCTTGGTGAAGATGCTGTGAACACTGTTGAAATGATGGCAAAGGATTTAGAATATTACATAAACTTAGTTGATAGAGCAGTGGCAGGATTTGAGAGGATTGGCTCCAATTTTGAAAGAAGTTCTACCGTGGGTAATATGCTATCAAGCAGTGTTGCATGCCACAGAGAAATCTTTTATGAAAGGAAGAGTCAATCAATACAGCAAAGCACATTGTTGTCTTATTTCAACAAATTGCCATAGCCACCCCAACCTTCCACAACCACCATCCTGATCAGCTAGTAGCCATCAACATCTAGGCAAGACCCTCCAGCAGCAAAAACTATTACAACTTGCCAAAGGCTCAGATAATCATTTTCGATATTTAGCAATAAAATATCTTTTATGTTTTCGAGACATGGTCTCACTCTGTCACCTGGACTAGAGTACAGTGGAATGATCAGAGTTCACTGTAATTTCGAACTCCTGGGCTCAAGAGATCCCCTTGCCTCATTCTCCTGACTATCTAGGACTAGAGGCGCATGCCATCATGCCCAGCTAATGTTTAAATTTTTTTGGTAGAGACTGGGTCTTGCTATGTTGCCCAGTCTGGTCTTGAACTCCTGGCTTCAAGTGATTCTCCCACGACTGCCTCTCAAAGTGCTAGGATTATAGGCATGAGCCACCAACGCTAGCCTGTAAAGTATTTTTAAATTAAGATATGTACATTGTTTTTTAGACATAATATTATTGCATACTTAATAGACTATAGTATAGTGTAAACATAACTTCTATATGCACTGGGAAACCAAAAAATTTGTGTGACTCACTTTATTGTGATATTTGCTTTATTGTGGTGATTTGGAACTGAACCCACAGTATCTCTGAGGTATGCCCACTGTAGAATTGAAATCAACCCTGTTCTAACTGTGGCTTTTCTTAGAGCTGTGAAAATCAATTGGCTCCCAGTGGTCCTCAACCTAGGCAAAGTCTGGTCCTCCCCAATCACCCTACTTATAAGAAGGAACCAAGCCTTATGAGGAAACCTTGTAAAATTTCCCCAGGCCCTAGAGATGGGAAATAGACTTCTCCATACTCTAACGCCCACTGCCACAATTGCATTCTCTGTACTAGAATTGCCTGTGTGCAGTGACAGACTGGAAGTATAAACATTCTTTAGGAAAAACTCTACCTTTATTTGCAGGGGTGTAGGTTTAACCTCCAGCTCCCTCAAATCATCAAAACACTCAAGTCAGACATTAACGCTTCCTGGCATCTGGCTCTTCCTCTCAAACAAAGTTTTCAGTGGGATTTTTTACACTAGCTTGGGTTGCGTGGCACCAGACCCTGAGAGAGTGTTGGTCTTTCCTTCAGGATGTGCAAGTCTGTACTTCCTTGAGGAAGTCTCTTCCTCCCAACTCCTCAGCTTCTACAAAGAGCTCAAACATTGATACACCCACTTTGCAAGGGGGTCCACATAGGTTGTAGGTTAAATAGAACAGACAAAATGTTCACTGGGAACAAAACATTTCTCTTTCTGAAACATAATTCACAAGAATAAAGGTTTATCAAAGACCTTCCTAGTTGACTTTATTATATGGCATCCAGTGTCTCATTCTGAAGTGACTTGCACACATGGTACTCAGTAAATACGGAGTGAATGAAGGACGCATGAACATTAGGGATGTTTCACTGCATTCGAGTCTTTTCCAAAAAAGGCGAGCAGATGTTTGCTTTCTACTTGCATAACCGCAGAGCCCCTCTCAAGCATATGTTTTCTTTTTCCTTTTCCCAGAACAACGGGACTGTCTGCCACAAAGATAAATCCAAATCTCTAGTCTAGAAGACAGAAGCAGCTTGCTAATTTTAAAATGGTGATTTTCCTCATTTATTTCAGACATTTGCATTTACTAATATTTTTTATTGTTTTAATGTAGTTGAAGTGAAAAAATAGTGGGTGTGGAACTGTGAGACCTGAATTCGAATCCTGGTTTCATATTTTCATAGCTTGTTGATACTGGAGGAGTTATAATCTCTCTGACAGTTTCCTTATCATAAACAGGAACTGTTACATCATGAAAACCAAATGAAAATGAGTATATGTTATTACTTGGGAAGAATAAAATGCATTAAAGATGCAAATTAGAGCTTTGTATTATTGTTGTTGTTGTTATTACTTAAATTTCCGCCCATTTTAGAGCTTTCAACTTCATCGTATTTTGAGACACATTGCTCAAGGAAGAATGAAATGGAAGACTAGCAATCTCTATTTCCTCTTTCTAACCTTCATTCCTTGTGCATTCTTCATCCTGAAGGTGTTAGAAAAGGTAGTTGACATTCCTTTTCTCAACTAAACAGCTTCTTATTGAGCAGTTACTGTGGGCTGGATACTATTCAAGGTGTTGGGGGGGAAATGTAAAGATAATAGAAACCGTTGTGGACTGTGGGGGTTATGATCCAGCTCAGAAGACAGACTTTAACCATATAATAATGTAATTAACTGATTGCAATTGCGATAAATGCTCTGAAAGAAAAGAACCAACACACATAATCTCTGGTCACTAGCCTGGCCAGGCACAGCCACTGCCCCTCTCCCTCAGCATGGGGTCTGACAGTACCCTCTGCAGTAGTCCTTGGGAGGTGCCCTCAGTCTCTTTTGTCACCTGGGCTCCTACCATCAGCTTGTGTGGCAGAGGCTCTCAGGAGCTCCTCCTGGTGGTAGCCCCCATTGAAACTCTGGTGTCTGTCTCCATTAAAAATGGCTACTGGGTTCTTAGGAACTTGGATCACTATATGTTTCCTATTCTGCTCAAAGTGAATTAGTTCCTGAACCTTCCAGCAGCATCTATGAGTCTGGAAAAGGTTTTGAAGAGCCTGCTTGAAGCCCTCTTCCATTGCATTGGGGATGTCTGCCAGTGTAACACATCACTGTCTGTAGTGTCTTGAGATAGGGCTCAGGTCTCTGATATCTGTGTTGGCTCCTAGAGGTCAGTGATGTAGAACCTAGGACTTATCCCTCAAACTCTAATATGACCCAAGGTTATTATATGCCTTATTGACTGATATGTAGAGATGCATTCATACCAGTTAAGGTTGGTGTGGTTTGCTGGAAAGGGCACTGGACTGGTAATCAGCTGGCGGGGCCTTGCCACCAACCAGCTGTGTGTTCTGGAGCAAGATTTCATTTCTGTGGTTCTCAAGTATGACATCTGAAAAATGAATATAAAGGACTCATCATTTAATTGATGCTTATTAATTTATATAAAGGAACTGAACTTAATATTTTACATATATAAAATATACATATACATATATATAGTATATATGTATATGTATTATATATATTATTTACATACAAAATAAACATTTATATGTATAAAATATACTCATATTTTTGATTACCTGAATTATTAGGACATTAGATTTTTTATTCTTAAAATATATATTATTTAGTGACTTAAGGACTAAGTGACATATGTGCCTTATCGTGCATGTTGTGGACTCAACATTTGTGTCCCTTGAAATTCAAATGGGCCTTAATGCCCAATGTGATAGTATTTGGAGATGAAACTTTGGGGAGTTAATTAGGGTTAAATGAGGTCATGAAAGTTGGACCTTGGTCTGATGGGATTAGTGACCTTAAAAGAGGAAACACCAGAGAGCTTGCTCTCTCTCTCTCTCTTTCTCTCACTCCCTTGTACACACAAAGAAGGGATCATGTGAGCACATGGCAAGATGGTAGCTGTCTATGAGCCAAGAGAGGAGGCCTCAGAATGAAACTTCACCTGCTAGCATCTTGATCTTGGACTTCCCAGCTTCCAGATCTGTGAGAAATATATTTCTGTTGTTTAAGCCACCCACTCTATGATGTTTTGTTATGGCAGCCTAAGCAGATTAATACAGTGCAGAATAGAATCCTAAAACCATTGATTATAAAATGAACCATCAGACAATCATAGAATCATTTGAATTTTTCTCACCTAAGCTTATGCATATCATGATAAAGTGATAAATGTCTTTCAAATACTCTAATGCTACACTCTCTTTCAAGAATTCACAGTGACGAAAACGTGGGTGGAAATGCTGAATTCTGCTTCAGAGAATATAATTAATAAAATGATAACGTAATTGTCAATGTCATTTTTAAGGCTCTAACACTTGTGTATTTCTTTCACTGTTTTGCTTTCCACCTTCAAATCATGGTGAGAATTATGAAGTTCATCTGTAAACAAAATTTCATAGCTCTTCTAAAAATATCAGTGAAGAAGAAATTGATCCTTTGATCTCCTGCCTTCTTTTCTGTTTCTTTCACCCAGTAAGTTTCATTTTATCAAGGGAGAAACAGGAGGAGAGATGCTGACTCACTGATAAAACTTCTGGAGCTCCAGGGACCAATGAAAGAGACTTTGCATCTAATTGCATGGCTTTTCAAATTGGACCAGAAGTAAAATTATGTGTTTTGAATTTATCATTGTATATAAGGGTTTTATAGTTTACTCTGAATATTTTTGGAAAAGAACAAATAAATAATGTGTGCTATCACTTATTACTAATGAATGGTTAGTTTATTCAAAGAAAAAGATGAAAAGTTAAATACACAAGTGACAATCATATTTAATATACTGCTTACTCCATTTTTCCCTCATACTTTAGATTTTCTTCAGTTATGAGTTTTATATATATACTTCTTTTTTCCCTAAATCTTGATTTGCAATGTAAATATCAATCCCATAATTAACACATTTTTTTCCTCCATTTAAAACGTGTTTTTAAACTTTTATTTATTTTATTTTATTTTATTTTATTTTATTTTATTTTATTTTATTTTATTTTATTTTATTTTTGAGAAAGAGTCTCGCTCTGTCGCCCAGGCTGGAGTGCAGTGACCTGATCTTGGCTCACTGCAAGCTCTGCCTCCCTGGTTCATGCCATTCTCCTGCCTCAGCCTCCCAAGTAGCTAGGACTACAGGCACCCGCTACCACGCCTGGCTAATTTTTTGTATTTTTAGTAGAGACAGGGTTTCACCGTGGTAGCCAGGATGGTCTCGATCTCCTGACCTTGTGATCCGCCCGCCTCGGCCTCCCAAAGTGCTGGGATTACAGGCATGAGCCACCGCGCCCAGCCTTATTTCTATTTTTTTTTTTTTTTTTTTTGTAGAGACAGAGTCTTGCTGTGTTGACCAGGCTGGTCTCAAACTCCTGACCTCCGGCAATCCTCCTTCCTCTGCCTTCCAAAGTGCTGGCATTATAGGCATGAGCCACTGTGCCTGGACTTTTCTCAATTTTATTGTCAGATTCGTGTAGTCTGAATTATTAGTTTATCAAGGAAGTCAATAAGAATTTTAAGAACTCATTTCTGATAGAAGTTAATTTTTGAGATACAAGAAGTTTGATCAGCTAAGGTCAAAGTAATGGCTAATGGTAGAAGCCAGACTGTTTCAGAGGGTTGCAGATTCTGAGACCGGATGTGATATTATAGACATAGCTATTTTCTCCTCAACAATTGAATATTAAACTGCCAACATAATTCTAATCTTATGTTGGGCAATCAAAACACAGGGCTGGTCAAGAACTGATTAAGGGCTTGTTTTCTGAGTCAGACAATCAGCAGCAAACCTCCCACCCACCCCAATTTATTACAGTTCTTACTGCTCTGTTACAACAAGGCCTTAACACACCCAACTTGTTTATGTTTTCATATATATATGCAAATCTCAAGTTATAGATTTGGGGTGGTTTTCAACGTGACAACATCTTATACCCTTTTCTTTTTGGGAACTCTGAACAGGTCAACCCGTTTGATGTAATGATGTAATACCAGTTATGTTTAATAAAGGAAATATTCTTTTCATTGTGAGACTGTTATATGTTTCCCCATTATCATCTAATTTCTTTTTTATTATTATCCATAATTCTTTCTTCACTGTTTTAATTCTTTTTATTTTGATTTTTGGGAGTTTCCTCTGATTACTATCTTGTGTGGCATACTTCATCGAATGCATGAACATTGAGCGGATTTGCCGGCATGGAGAGGTTGCCCTTCATTCAGAGCCACCTTTGTCAGGAGGAGGAGCAAGTCAGGACTTTGACTTTCTGGTGGTCACATAGCTACTGAAAGGATTTCTGATCCTTGCAATTTTCATATTTTTGTCTTTCATCCACTTTAGTTTCTCTTCTCCACTATTCTCTACTTTATTTTATTTTTTAACCAACTTCTTTCCTTTACTTGCCTCTTTGCATCTGAAGCAATCTATCGATTAAAGAATGCCTGTCTTCCTTCTCTGAGTTACGATCCTCAAGTGAAGGTTGGATTAGTTTCTTAAACCAGCTAAAATCTACTATGTTCATTTTTATCTACACTAGGCCTCTAGGTTCTCCTTGGAGTTGAAATTCCGTCATTTGATAAGTATTTAAAAGGAAATACTTCATGCCAGGCACATGGTGGGAATCAAACAGAAAAGTTCCCATATCCTCACAGGGCCTGTGTTCTGGCAAGGGAGCCAGATGATAAACAACATGTGTTAATGTGTGGTGTAATGGTAAATAGTGACAACAGCTGGGAAGAACAATTGAGCAGGATTGAGATAAGTGGGAGAGAAGGTGGAGGCAAAGGCTATCTGAAGAGGTGACCTTTGGGCAGCAGCTGCATGAGCAGGAAGGCAGACATTCAAACATCTCAGGGCAGAGAATTCCAAATGTGGGAACAGCAAAGTCTCTGAGCAAGGATGTGTCAAGAGTATTTGAGAACAGCAAGGAGGCCAGTGTCTGTAGGGTTGTGATAGGGAACATGGAAGGAAATTGGGTTCCAGAAGGAGCTGGGGGCCAAATCCTGCCCTCAATGAGCACTGTAGGGGGAAAAATAAGGAAGACTTTAAAAATAAAAACCAGAAGCATTTTTGCTTACAGTGCAATACATCATCTGGAACAAAATAAGTGGTGCTTATTCTGTCTTATTGCAAACAAGAATGTTACTGAGTATTTGAAAAGGGAAGTAACCCAGTGGCCTGGGCATAAGTGAGGAAGGCTTCCTGGGAGAGGATGGCCTTGAGCTGTTCTCATGCACTCATTTTCTCAGCTTGCATTTTTTGAGTGCAAAATATGTACCAGGCCTTTGCTAGGTGTTGGAGATATGTGATGGGCAAAACAGACCCATTCCTGCCCCCATGAACTTACAGTCCTTTAGGGGAAAGGTAAAGCAAAGAATTATACAACTAAATATACAATTACAAACTGTGAAAAATGCTCTAAAAGTATGGTGGACCATAGGGTGCTGGAAAGACTAAGATAGGCACCTAAGGTAGCCTGGGGAAGGAGCATATTATAGGGGAAGGTGACACATAGGAAGTGGCCAGATGACAGGGAGCTGGCCAGGCAGGAGGTGTGCAGAGCTGTCTGAACAGAGGCAGCAGACTGTGGGGTGGTCCTGGGCAGAATAGGAGGCTTATTTGGGGATCTGAAATGCAGCCAGTGTGGTTGAGCATAGTGAAAGTAAATAGGAAAGGTGGAGAAGGTCTTTTCACAATGTAGATGCATCCAGAACATGTGGGACTTTGGATTTTGGATTTTATCCTTAAAATACTGGGAAACAACAAAAGGTTTTAAGAAGGGGAGTGACATCATCAGATTGATGATTTAAGATGCTCATGCTTCAAGCTGTGTATGGAAAGGTATTGGAAGAGGTCAAAAGAAGAATCAAAGGACTAGGTTGGAGGGCACTGTAGGAGGTCAGGATAGCATGATGCTGGCTTAGACTGGAGTGGTGACAGTGGAGACCAAGAGCAAGGGCAGACATATCTTTGAAGTATGTTTATCAGGTAGACCATGGGAAACACATGGAATTTTGATTTATCTATGCTGTAAAAAAATTAGAAATACAAAGAAAACAAGAGCCCCCAGCTTACAAGCTCTTAAATTAGAACAATGAAATATACCTTGACCAGGAAACCAGGCAATCTCACTGGAGAGCTTGCATGTCAGCAGTAATTGTCTTTTATTCCTGGAAAGTATTTGGGAGTCTGATTTGCTACTTTCATACAAATTCCAAAATAATACTGAACTTATTAGTAAAATAGTATACCTGAACTAAATAGTATACCTACTGTGTGCTAGGAACAGCTGTAGGTTTGGTTTTGGGACACAGTGGGGAGTAAATAGTCAGACCTCCTTCCTCAAAGAGCTGGAATTCTGACAAAACTTAAATTTCTGTGTACCTTTTAAGAAATGTATAATTTTAGCCAAAAGATAATAAATAAGAGTGATGTGTTTTTTAAATACATCAGTTTGATATAGGAAAGTATAAAATAATACTTTCTGAATTTTTATGAGACAACTTCAAAAGATTCTATTAGAAAATACTTTAAAGTAAATAAATTAATTGGCAAACAACTTACTGGGAAAGCATTTGCCATCAAAATAACCAAAGAATAATTTTATTACTATAAAAAGATCTTGTAGAAATCATTAAATAAAGCAGGATCCCCCAACAGAAAAAATGTACTGAAAGTATAAATACCTTAAAAATAAGTAATACAAATGGCTTCCAGATATGAGAAAATTGACCTCTGTAGTAATAAAAGAAACACAAGGTAATTCAATCTGACATTATCTGTCCCTGTACTGCAAAGATTTCCGTTTTTCAATCATGATACTTAGTGGTGGGTAGGTGTGGCAGAGCCAGTGCGAATTGACACAGCTTTTCTGGAAAGCTGTTTGCAGTATGGATGATGAGCCTTAAAATGTTAAATCCTTGTACTTAATGCTATTTTTAGGGGTACACTCTAAAATAGTCACTGATAAAGACAAAGATTTATGTACATAAAAGTGGATAAAGGGTTCAAGATAGGACATAGATATTGAGCTTATAGGATCAGAAAATTAATTCTGTGACCTGAATCACAATAAGAGTTTTCAGAACTTCCAGAGATCTCATTTTGACTCTATTGTGAATGGATTGAATGGCCTTAGCAAAGATCTACAGCATCTGAGTTGGAGTCTCCATCCATTTCCTGGTTGGGAGACTACATTGTACTGGTTTAGTGCTAAAGCAGAAGTACAGATCTTAGAGTTTCCTTATGCTCCTGCCCCAGAGAGCTGCTGGAGGCTTCTGCTAGCCCAGAGATTGGATCAGAGCCTTGACATACCTGCTAGGAGCTCTCTGACGCCATCTCCAATCTCTCAGTCTTGCCTTCCACCTCCATTCCAGATGTTAAGTTTCAACACACACACACACACACACACACACACACACACACACACACACTCGGTGGAGAGGAAGACTGAAATAAAGACATCAATGAGTTTGGAATCAATTATAATAATTGCAATGCTTATATAGTGCATATGTCAGGCAGTGCATTTTATTTATAGTAACAAATTTCATCCTCACAATAACAATAAATAAAATAATAGTACCATAAGGTAGATACTATTATGATCCCCATTTTACAGATGAGGAAACTGAGGCATAGTGACTTGGCCAAAGTTATACTAACAGAGTATGGCAGAGCTGGGACTTGAATCTAAGCAACCTGGGTCTAGAATTAGGCCTTTAAATCACTGTATCATCCTGCCTTTTTAATAAAATCACTGAAAATTCATGTCCTGACTTTCCCACTTACCAACTGGGTAACTGGGAAAGGCACTGAACATCTCAGATACTGGGTTTCCTATTGTGAAACAGATACAGTAATACCCACCAGACTGAGTGCCATGATAAGGGAATGAAATGATGTGTGTGAAGTTCTTGACACCTAATGCACATGGAAATACTTATGGTATTATTACTCATAAGCATATTTTAATGCACGTGAGTCTGTACCTTGGCTTTGCCACAATATTTAACTGCCACTGAAAAATGACTTGCAAAGACAAAGCTGTGCTGGCCTGAAACATTTTGAGGCCCATTCCTTGTGTCACAGCATTTGGTGGATATACAGCTTACTAAAGAGTGCTGATCCCTACCTCTTGGCCAAGTTTCCAGGCCATCTGCACATCCTGGAAAACCTGATGACTCTAGACGAGGTCTCAGCCCATTGTGGGATCCACTGTAGTGGGTTTGACAAAAAACTGTTGGCAGTTTCCTATCACTGTAGTGTGCGGCAGCTAAGTTTGGGCACAAAGGAACTCACCAATATGGACTAATACGTAACATCGTGGGCTTGAGAAGTGAGCTTGCTTGTCTGTTTGATCCCATGAGCTGGCTTCTAAGGAATGGCTGTGGTACAGAATTTTATACCAACCACAAGAATGTAATTATAAGCACGTCTTGATCTACTTCCCACTTATGTGGTCACTGCTTGACATTTTGATCCTGCAGAGTAAGAGTTCTAAGAAAAAGAGAAAAATAGATTCCTCATATAGCCTAGAGTAGAAATGGAAAGGGAAACATTTGTCTTGGGTAGTCCTGTGTTTCACAAGTTTAACAAGTTCTTGTGTTTATTTATATAATGTATATATCTGCTTGTTGTCTTTAATTTTCCTTTTTTTTTAAAGGTATAAGTTAACTTTGTGCTTAACACTTCCTGATCTCCCACTTCCTTAAATCACTCCAACCTCTTGCTTCTGCTGTCACATCACCTACTACTTACTTTGATCCTCTTATTTCTCACTTTATAAGGACCCTTGTGAGGACATTGGGCCCACTCAGATAATACTGGATAACTTTCCATCTCAAGATTCTCAACTCAATCATATTTTTAAAGCCCCTTTTTCCATGTAAGGTAGCATATTCACAGGGTAGGATGTAAATATCTTTGGGGGAGCCATTATTTAGCCTACCATGGTTGATCAAATTTGTGTCTTAGAAGTATCACTCTGAGGATCACATATAGAGTTGATTTAAGAAGTATGGCAGAAGTTCAGGAAAATAAATTTTAAAATGTTGCAATAATACAGGCACAACTTTGAAGAAAGATATGACAATGAGGAGGGAAAGGAGGATATGAATTCCAAAGATATCCAGGAGTTTAAATTAGCAAAGATTTCACGACCGGTAGGAAATAAAGGAGAGGAAAGAATCGAGGTTGACTCCCAATTTTTGATTTCAGTTAGTTTGTTGTGATATAATTAACCTGCAAGGAATGCATGAGAATTTGTGGTCAGGGGACAATTAGTTCAGTTTGAGCCACACAGTTTGAGTGGCTGATAAAATATCATGTTGTTGATAACAATTGTCATTGGAAATTCAGGCCTGAAACTGCCATAAGAAAGAGATCATCTGGGGAGAACACATTGAGTAGGAAAAGAAGTTCAAGAATAGAATCTTGGAGACTCCAACATTTGATAAGAATGGCTGGGTAACAGGACAGAGAAGGGAGGAAATAGAGATGTCATTGAAGTGAAGAGACGAGAGGCTTTCAAGAAGGAAGGTGTTGGCTGTGATGTCAGATATCTTACGGAGCCAAGTAAGATCAGGCCTGACGATCTATTGGACTAAGCGAACAGATAGAAGGTAATGTTGGATCTTATTAAGAACAATTTTAGAGAGCCCATGAAGCCTGGAGCTGATGGAAGTATTGAGGGTGAGAGTGAAGTTATTATTCAAGAAATGTGATTGTAAACAGAGGGAAAAAATTGGATAGTCAATACAGAGAGAAGCAGGTTTCCCCTAGTGATGGCAGTGGATTTCACATTTTATAATTTAAGGGAAAGCCATTGGGGAGGTAGAAAATTAAGACAAGGGAACAAGAGATTGATGGAGAGAGGAGATGAGTAGTATCAGGTGGTAGAGGAGATAAGTGAAGATCGCACGTTTAAGGGTTAGCTCTATAGACAGAAGTGGAGAAGGAGGCATATATGTAATGAGTGAGAATATAGATAGGTACATTAAAAGGGGATATGGCAAAGATGAAGGAAGTTGAGCTTGACAGCATCCATGTTTTCTATGATGTAGGTGGTAAAAGCATCTCTTCACTCAGGAGCTGCAATCTGAGCTCACAAGCTCAGTCTGGGGTATATGTGCACAGATTTGGATCCCAGCTCCACCACTTCCTAGCTGGGCAACCTCAGGTGGTTGCTTAACTCCTCTCCAGGAGTTCAAGACCAGCCTGGGCAACATGGCAAAACCCCATCTCTACAAAAATTAGAAAAATTAGCCAGGTATGGTGATGTGCATCTGTAGGCTCAACTACTAGGGAGACTGAGGTGAGAGGATTGCTTGTGCCCGGGAAGTTAAGGCTGCAGTGAGCTGTGACTAAACCACTGCTCTCCAGCCTGGGCCACAGAGTGAGATCCTGTCTCAAAAAAACAAAAATCAAAGTGCTTATTAGACTCATTTCTTTAGCTTTTTAAGACTTCTTCCAATAAAAAGTTGTTTAAAGTTTTAATATGTATCAGTGTGCCTTTTGGATATATCTGATCTTCAACTATAGCATAATTTATTTAAAGAATGTAGTCCATACATATTATTTTAGCTTGATGCCACGGATAATAGGTCTTGTTTTAAATTCACATCTGGGAGAAAGTTTGATATCATATTTATACCTGCAGGTCTAATAGGATGTTTTATAAATTTCATTGTATGAGATCTTCATCCTGTGATTTCTAAATTTGGGCATCCTCAAGCCTGAGGGCTATCTGTGATCTCATGGTAAGGAGTTCAGGGTCTTAACTAAAACATCTCTATCAATCACTGCAGCAGGCTAGCTATCCTCAGATGCAATGTGAGTTTTCACCAGTCTAGATCCTCTGGTGTCCAGACATTAAATATGGCTTAATTTATCTCTAGATTTTTTTTTTTTTTTTTGAGATGGAGTCTCACTCTGTTGCTTGGGTTGGAGTGCAGTTGTATGATCTTGGCTCACTGCAACCTCCGCCTCCAAGGTTCAAGAGATTCTCCTGCCTCAGCCTCCTGAGTAACTGGGACTACAGGCATACACCGCCATGCCTGGCCAATTTTTGTATTTTTTGTAGAGACGGGGTTTCACCATGTTGGCCAAGCTGGTCTTGAACTCCTGAGCTCAAGCAATCTGCCTGCCTCAGCCTCCCAAAGTGCTGGGATTACAGGTATGAACCACCATGCCCAGCCTCTAGAAATAACTTGATTACATCAAGTAACTTTGAAAAATTATATATATTATATATAATTTACTTTTATTATGTATAAAATGAAAAATTTATCTATATAATTTATCAAAATGTCTTTATATATGTATGTATGTGTGTATATATATACATCTATCTCTATATCTATATCTATATCCATATCTATATGTCTCACCCAGGAGAGAGTGCATATGCGTGAGAGAGAAGCAAGAAGGAATAAGGAAAACAAAAGTAAAGGGAGTGAGAAGAGGAAGAGTTAATGAATAGTTTTCTCTCATTCTGCTAAAAATGCCTGTATGCTCTCTTTTTTCAATCCAGAAAATAAAGTCCCAAACTAATGTGGCACTCTTACAATTTAATCATCAATTCATTGTGAACAACTGGATGAGGAAAAGTTGCCCAGAGTTACCAAAAATAAAATTCTTTAGAAAGGAGAAAAGCCATGCCTTAGGAAATTGGTAGAAGATATGTGATGGACACAGCAGCTTCTCATCAATTGACTTGGTTTTACGTTAAAGGAAACATGCAAATCTTTGTAGGTTAAACCACATATGAAATTCATGAGAGCCTCTTGGGCTTTAGGCACTGACTCTGTGGAAATACTAGCTGTAAGCTGCTTTCTTAGGGAAGGGATGTTTATTCTGTCACGGTGCTACTGAAACAGCTCAAAGTTACCACCTTAGAAATCTAGCTTTCACCAGGTACTTTAAAATTCCTTTAAAAAAGTGTATTTTATTAATTTCATTCATAATTTATTAGCCCTTAAATTTTTCCAGTAGCATTTGATCTGCCAGAGCTTCCAAATGTAGGATATTTTGTACTTCGAATGCAAACTAGTTGTCTCTTGAAACTGGGTAATGGGAAAAATTTAGCACAGAAATATCCCTGTGACCAAGTTTCTGAGTAAACGTGCTAGGGGATTCAGTTGGGTGCTAAGAATACACGGAAGAATACACTCATGCATCCCTCCTTTGATTAATGCAACAAATATTTATTGTCTACTTCGTGTCAGACATTGTTTGCTTCTTGCTTTAGGGATTAAGCAGTGAACAAAGCTGTTGAGGACCTTGTCCTTATGAAGCACATGTCCAGAGTTATGGGAAGCAGAAAGAAAAAAAATACTGCAAATACTTTATATTGTATGTTGTAAAATAAAGCAGGACAGGTGGATCATACCACTCCTTTGTTTAAATTCGTCATTTATTTCTGTGACTTTAGGAGGGAGTCTAAATCCCTTGCCTGTATCCTGGCACTCTGTTTCTTCAGGCTTCTCTCTTGTTGCCCCCATTCTTACTCAAGGCTGCAACTTTCTCTTTTCTTGGCTTGACCCTAGGACTTTTCAAATATACCTCTGAGACCCTTTATCCTCTGCTCCATCACTATCTTGCCTACACCTGGCCAGCTCCCGCTGAACCTTACGTCTCAGCCTAAATACTGCTCTTTTCAGGAAGTCCCAAAATTCTCCCTCCAAGTCTGGTTGTGCATTGTCATGAGTGGTCCCTTACCACCTGGTACATCCATTCATCTCTTAACATGGCGCTTGTTGCCCTGTATTATGGCACTTGTGTGTGTTTTGTGTGTGTGTTGGGGGGAAGGTGTTGTTTTGTTCTGCTTTTGTTTGACTGGCACACAGTTCATACTTGATTAATGGGTGAATGGATAGATGACAGAGTGGATGGATGAAGGAATGAATGTGATAATGTAATGTACTCTATCTGATACTGGACTTTTTAAGGCTGTAGAGACTCCCATTCTTTGAGTTCACACCCAATAGTCCTCCTTTTCCTAATTCCTCTAACGGTGAGTAAATTTTCTTATTAGTGACTCACCAATTTTTCCCGCAGCAGGTGGACAAAACCTCTTTAGTAGACTAGCCTTTCTTAAGCCAGTGGGGGGAGAAAAGATTCTATCTTTTAGGGAATTGAAGGCTATGATGTAATGTTAATAGCATAGGAGAGAGCAGAAGCTTTGCGTGTCTGAAGCATGGCTCTGTGTTGAAAGCTCTTGAGAACACTATGCCGGGGGTGCTTTTCTAAATCAAACTTCATCCATGAAATGTAATTTGGGGAACTTTCCACGTGGCGCCGTGTGGACTCTGGCAGACAATAGTATTTTTATTTGCTAGTAGTTTTCTTTCGGAGAGGGAGAGTGATTTCGCTATTTGGTTTTTTCTTCCATTTAGTGCTGCATAATGCTTATTAGAGACAAAATCTTACTACTTCCCTGCTTCGCGTGCTGTAAGCTACCTAAATGTGTTCTAAGTATTGTCTTAGAGGGCGTGTGTGTGTGTGTGTGTGTGTGTGTGTGTGTGTGTGTGTGTGTGTGTGTGTGTGTTTAGGAATTTGAGCCAGCCCCCACCATTTTCCTGCCCTCCCTGAGGCTGCAGGACTTTAGGATTTATTGTAGCCACTCTTAGAAGGACAGTTGCAGTTGTGTCTGTAGAGAGAGCCTATAAATATCAGGGCATTTGGTAACTGAGAGTAGAGACAACTGTCATAATCATGGGTTCTGCAAAGACTTGAGTCTGCTGGAAGCAGTGTCTTGGGGTCGGCAACAGGCCCTTCAGGAGGATGGCTGGGGAGGGGTTTGGGGACAATCAAAAGGACTATATTTTGCAACTCGCTTATTTTCCTGAAATGAAATTCATAGGTAAGTATAGTCCTGCTATGCACATACTTTGCAAAATCTAACATAATGATCTACCTGTAATATAATATTCATTTTAGCTTACAAATGCTAAAAATAACTATATTAGACATAATGAAGTAGTCAAATGCTTGTACCTAACACAATAAATGTGTTTGGATGTAAGAAAGTAAAATCATATTCAACTGAATAACGCTCATGTTTTTGTATATGAGATATTTTGTATAAGAGATATTCTAAAATTTTCATGTGTCCTAAATCAGACTCAGCCTAATTTTCTCACCACCCTTCTCCGTGTTACCCTCCAACTGGTTCCTAAACCAATCTCTAATCACTATAGTGTGTCAAAAATCCTGTGTTTCCTCTTCATCTCACTCCTGCCCTACCCTCTCCTGCCTCTGATTTATGACAACAGCCGTCTAACTGGTTTGTCTGTCTCTAGGGTGTTTTAGAAAGTTGCGTGGTCACCACAGTAATGGGGTGGTGATGAGTATTTGGTGAGTACTGGCCAGGAATTCTAGAAAGCCTAACATGCATGGAGCAATGCATAGAACAGTGCATGAAAAAGTGCAAAAATGTCCTGGGTCCCACATAACATTTACTCATCCTCTGTACCCTGTGGAGATGAACTTTTATAATTACCTAAACCTAGAAATTAATTCTAGAATCAATCTGGGAACTTTTTAGTTTTTTGGGGAAACTTCTTTGTCATTGAATTTATATGCACAAAGTGGACTAAATTATTATCTTATAAATCTGTTTCGTGACTGTGGTTATTTCTCATTTTTTTTCTTTCACTATACTTGCCTAGGTAACTAACGCATGGATTATACATTTTAATGTGTGTTCATTTTTCAAAGAGCCAGCTTTTAATGTATGTATTAGCTCCATTACTTTTCTGTTTCTGATTCATTGATTGGATTTTATTTATAGAATTTGCTTTCTTCTACTTTCTTTAAGAGTAATTTGAAGTTCCTTTCTAAATTCTTATTTTTCTTTTTTTTCCTGTTTAGTAATTTTTGTTTTAAACTATGAATTTTCTTCTGACTTGTGGTTATATTAAAATTTTATTTATCATTAGTTTTTAGGGATTTTGCAGTGTTGGATTTAATTTCCATGTTGGATTTCTCATGAGTTAAGAGATATTCTAAAATTTTCATGTGGCAAAGATTTATTTTCCTATTTTTGTTATTAATTTCTAATTTTAATGCATTATGATCAAAGAATATGATCTATACTATTCCTATGTTTTGAAACTGAGGTTTCCTATGTGGCCTGCTGTGGATTGAATTGTAAAATATGTTACAGTTCTAATCCCTTGGTACCTGTGAATATGACCTTATTTGGAAATAAGGTCTTTGCATATATAATCAAGTAAAGATGATGTCATAAGTCAAAAAGTAACTGAGACAGGTCTCAATCAATTTTGAAGTTTATTTTGCCAAGGTTAAGGATTATGACCTATTAGGAGGTCCTAGGAACATTGGCCGAAGGTGGTTGGGTTACATCTTGGTTTTATGTGTTTTAGGGAACATAAGACATCAATCAATATGTATGAAATATACATTGGTTTAATAAGGAAAGGCAGGACAACTTGAAGTGGCAGGGCTTACTGGTCGTAGGTGGATTCAAAGATTTTCTGATTAGCAATTGGTTGAAAGGGTGAAGCTGTGCCTGAAGAGTTGAAACTAGCCTGAGTTAAGGCAAGTTGGGAGGGCTAGAGAAGCCTAGGTTCTTGTTATGTAGATGAAGCCTCTGGGTAGCAGGCTTCAGAGAGAATAGATGTGAACATCTCTTATCAAAGGTGTCAGGCTCTCTGGAGAGACCTAGTAAAGGAAGGAGAATCTCTATAGAGTGTAAAACTTCCTCCACAAGAGACAGGTTTGCAGTGCTATTTCAAAATATGTTTTTTCTTTCAGGACTTTGCTGTCATGTAATGCTGTACTAGAGACAGGTTAGAATTTGGTATCTTATGGCTATAAAGAGTCTGTTCTGTCAGTCTTAGGATCTCTGTTATAATGTTAATGCTGGTCAATTTTGTGCCTGAATTCCAAAAAGAGGAGAGTATAATGAGTCATGTTCAACATCCCCTGCCCCACTCCACCATCCCATCATGATCCAAACTAGATTTTCAGGTTTCTTTGGATCCCCTTGGTTGAGACGAGGGTCCATTCAGTCTGTGCGTGGGGTTAGAATTTTATTTTTGGAACACAATATCATACTGCCATACTGGATTGGATTTAATAACTAGTCTAATCCAATAACTGGTGTTCTTTTAAGAAAAGGGAAACTTGGACACAGAGATACACACAGCAAACACTATGTGACAATAGAGACAGAGATTCTAGTGATGTATCCACAAACCGAGGAAGGCCCAGGATTCCTGGCAATCACCGGAAGCCAGGAAGAGGCAAGGAAGGGTCCTCCTCTAGAGCCTTCAGAGAGAGCACGGCCCTGCTGACACTGAGAGAATAAATTTCTATTGGTTGAAGCCACATAGCTTGTGATTCTTTGTTATGACAGCCCTAGGCAACTAATATGTAGCCTAATAAGACATGGCCAAACTTTGTAGATGAAAGGAGCTTGAAAGGGAGGTATATATTTTTCCATGTGAGGATCTACCTTCTTAATTATGTTAAGTCCTCTATGTCTTTTCTTATTTTTGGTTTATTTGAGTTATCAAAGACAGAGAGATAAATTAAACTTATTTATGGCTACTGTCTCTCTATTTTTCCTTATATTTTAATAATTTTTGCTTTAAGAATGTAGATGTGATGCTATTTGATGTAGATGCATTAGGCTCAGAATTTCATTGTGGGTTGCATTTACTTATTATTACCATAAAGTTCTATTCCTCGAATTCAACCATGCCTAACATTAATATCCTTAATATCCTGACCCCTGCTTTACTTTTATTTTCATTTGCTTACTGTATTTTCCCATCCTAAAAGGATGGAAATGATACTTCCAATTTTTTGAGTAACTTTTCTTACATATTATATCACTTTTTTGAGTTTAGACTTCTTAAAATCCAATTAGAGTCCTTTAAAGAAGTGAATGTGTCTGACTTTTATTTATCTGACATACATGTTTGGTTTCTCTTATATCATCTTAAATTGTTTTATTACAGTAGTCACCCCTTTTCCACAGGGGATACATTCCAGGATCCCCAATGGATGTCTGAAACTGCTTATAATACTGAACTCTATATATACTGTACTATCGTTTCTCCTATACAATCACATTGTAGAGGGTGGGTAGCGTATCAAACATGACTATGCTGGACAAAGGGATGATTCATGTTCCAGGCAAGATAGAGCAGGATGAAGCAGGATGGTATAAGATTTCATCACACTACTCAGAATGGTGTTCAATTGAAAACTTAGGAATTACTTATTTCTGGAATTTTCCATTTAATATTTTTGGACCTAGGTTGACCCAGTAGGTGAAACCTTGGAAAATAAAGCCATGGATAAGGGGGGACTGCTGTATATGTTTTCTTTTGAAATATTTTGCTCTGTTGGTGTTTTCTCTATTTTCTTTTGTGTGTTTTCTCATAGCGAGGAAGTTTTACAGCCTACTTTTAGTTATTTGTGCATAGGCATTCTCTGTGGTTTGTGTACATGCCTTGGTGTGTGTAGGTAGTAAGGTGAAAGAGCCTGTGTGAAAGAATAAAGATGTAAGAGAATTTGATGTGCTCCAGGAATGGCAAAAAGATCTCGATAACTAGAGCACAGGCTGTGTCATGGTACATTAGCCTGGAGAGCTAGGCAGAAGGCAGGCCATTGTGAATCTCCTTAGATGTTTGAGAACCACTGAAAGATTCTGAGCAGGTGTGAAACAAAAACAAACCAGTGAGCAAACTCTCTGGCAGCCAAATGGAAGATGGTTGAGGCTAGGGTGAGAGGAGTGACTAGAAGCAGGTCAACAAATTAGATCTCCATCATATTATCTCAGGTGAGAGGTAATGAGAGCTTGTGTGAAGCCTATGATAGCACAGGTTGAGAGAAAAGAGTATGTAACAGGTACAAAAGATTGTAGGTTGATTATACACGGAGGTTGGGTAGAGAAAGGGACTATCTAAGGTAACTCCAGGTTCATGGACATGTAAGTGGACTATAGTTCTATTCATTGGGATAAGGACCTAGAAGGATGGGCAAGTTTAAAGAAAACATGCTGAGTTCAGGTCTGAACAGGATGAATTACAATCACCTGTGGGATACCCAGTACTAGCTAATTGGCAGTGGAAATCAAGGCTGGAATATAAAGCTGGGAACCCTTTGGGTATGAGTGGCAGCTGAAGCCATGGTTTGGGATAAAGCTACAAGAGAAAGTAGCTGTGCTCAAGTAGTAGCTTAGCTGTGCTCTCCAATACAGCAGCCACTAGTTGCATGTGGCTATTCCAATTTAACCATGAGTTAATTAAACTGAAATAAAATTAAAAATTCAGCTCCTCAGCTGCACAAGCCACATTTCAAGAGCTCAAAGACTGCATATGGCTTGCAGCTACCATATGGGACAGCACAGATTATAGAACATCATCAAAGAAAGTCCTATTGGACAGCTCTGGTACAGAGTGAAAAGGGAGAGGTTCAACATATATCAGGACCCTGTTGTTATTGATAACTAGGTGTTTATTAAAAAAGAAGAGTCCAATGAAACAGGCAGAGAAGGAGTGTCCATCCATTGAATGTCTTTGAATGGGCTGAGCATGAGATGCTTTTCTTGCATTATCCCTAATCCCCAAACTGCCCTATAATGTTGGTAATATTAATTATTTTTATTGAAAGTTGTCAAGATTAATGCCTCAAGATCCCAGACTAGTAAGTAGCAGAGCTGGAATTGTAACCCAAATGCATGTAGTATCCTAAATTCAGTAACATTTCAATTGCCCCAGGTTGCCTGTCCTGAGAAAACTCAAAGACAATGGTGCCAAGGAAGAACAGAATTTCATAAATGAAGAATGACAGATGGCACTAAGAGTTCAAGTAAGGTAAGATCAGAAAAGTTTTCATTGGATTATACTACAAGAAGATTGTCACAGACTTTTTTGAGGACCATTTCAATGTAGTGTAAGGGCTGAAGCTCTGTTAGAGTAGACTAAGTCTAGCTGTATAGCTACGTGGAGCATAGGCCGGTATAGCCTGTACTTTTAAGAGATTAGATGTAGGTGATTGTTTTTGCATACAAAAGATACTTCACCAAAAACACATTTCAAGTTTTTGCAAATTTTATGTATTAAATGCTCTAAGGCTGCATTTCTCATCTTTGGTATACTCAGATGAGATTGGACAAGCTACTTCTAACAGTTACTAGTTGTTTGGCCTTGGTCTAGTCACTAAACTCTCCAAAATTTTTTTCCTATCTGGGCAAGGGGTTAGCAATACATGCCTACCTTACCTTAAAGGGATGTTTGAGCATTAAATGAAACAGTGAGTTTGACGATGAGCTGTACAGTGATTTATGATATAATATGCTATTCCCAACAGATCAGACCACAATATTAAAACTCCGCAGATTTAACCACAAAGTTTATGCATCAATTGGACTTTTCATTTCATGTTATCAGCTCTACTTCTCTGAAGAATAGAAAAAAATGTATGAGCTTTTGTTGAATTTCCCCAACAAATCTTTACAGCTTGACACTTGACTTTTTGAAACAGAGGCTCGTGGGTTCCTGTGGGTGGTTCTGACTTAATCTTTGTTCCTTGACTGATTCCACCAAAACTAGAAGAAGGAGAAGAAATTACTTTTCCCATCTCCAAAATATTTAATAGAAATGGTTCAGACTTCTAGCCAAGAAAAGTCAGTTTATAAGATGCATATTCCTAATTATTTTGGTAAATAGATGAGTGCCTAGAGCAAGAACCTAATAAGTTTGTGGAAAAACTTAACATTAGTTCTCAAAAAAAAAGATCACATTGATTACACCAAATGGAGAATGCTCAGAATTCTGTTTGCCTCTGAGCTCCACTGATGACTGGACCGCAGAGTGTTGCTTGGAACCACTGTGGTTTGGTTAAAATGAGGATAAACATGAGAGATGCATATTTGTTACCAGACCAGGGGAAACCTAAGAAGACTTTACAGATGTCTCTTTGGACCTGAACTCAGCAGCTAACATCATTTCTCGCTGACGGAAATATTGCTAACTTCAACTCCCAGGTTACGAACACTAAATTTTTACATACTCTGGTGATATCTTCAGCAGCTCTAAGGAGAACCCTTGATATTTTAGCTCAGAATAAATCAGAGGAGGAGTATAAACTATTTGTCAGTAAAATATTTGTTAGCATCCTCTGAAACTTTTCTAATTAGCCTCAAAGCACATCGAACCCACAACAAGTTTACTGGAAATGTCAGTTATTAAAAAGACATTTTACCGTAATTGAATGCTAGTGTCACATAATTCAGACCACAGCCCCTGGCAGCCCAAAGAAAGAGTTGCTTGTAGCAAACTGTGCACTGACAGGAAGCAAACTTCTCAGCTGGGTCCCACCACAGCACTTTGGCCTTCAGTTGCAAGAGGGAAAAATTACCAACCACTACCCCAGCTATCACCACTGAGTTGCTGTCATTGAAATAATATGAGGCCAGGTAAAATAAGAAGAAAATCAAAGTCCCAGTGAGACTTTTAAAACCTCATTAAAAACATTTTTGGTGAGGGTTGAGGCTTATCATATCACTGATAAATGGTCAAAATAAGGTGGAGAAGGGAAATCCCTGATCCCAGTTGTTGAGGGTTAGGCCATTGATCTGGACTCATTTTCTGACATCTTTGCAGAAATAATATGAAACTCCTCTGTTTTTCAAGTACCATCTAAGAACCAAAATTCCATGTCAGGTGAGTTTTAGTATCATGATTCCCAGACAAATAGGAGAAATTGTCATTGTCCAGGCTCAGGATAGAACACCACCATTGTATTAACAGAACGCTGGCTGCAATTCTCCCTCAGCTGCTGTATATCCCTAGTCCTAGTGACCATTCTGATTTATGAAGTGATGCTAAATTCACCCTTGTGGCACTGAGGTTTCTTCCCTTCTGTTGAGGGCTTATCATCCTATCTGTGCTCAGCCCCGTTTCTGGCTTCCTCAGGATCCTCCATGGATCATTCTCCTGACCCTCCACACATGCTCCAGGCTCCTTTATCTTAACACAAACAGAGAAAAAGCAAACAAATAAATGGTTCTCCACTCAGCACCACTTACTTAAAATTTTTATCTTCTTTCCTTTATAGCTATAAATATTTGGTTAATTGATAGCATCCTAAATGTCAAGCCCAGTGACATCATTATCTAAGGAGTGAAAATGTTTCTACTTCACTAACCAGACCCAATATTCACTGTGTCTGATGTGAGCCATAGATGCTGTCAGTCTTTGAGTCAGGGGTTTACCTAGCTTGCTCTTAAGTGGGTCCAGAATGCAGACTTAAGCTTCTTCCTCGATCCTGGTCTGCTTGTCTCCCTGTCTGGTGGCTCAGGGCCCTTTGCTATGACTGGCAGTCCACCAACCATAAATCTCTAAAAAGACCAGAACTCTAGGGCCATCATTAGTTCTTGTGAGCCCTCCTTCCCTAGTTATGGATTCAGGTTTACCTCTGGTGGGAATTCTTGTTATGTATGGTCAGATTTCCCGGGCAGACCATTGTCTGACCAACTCTTACACATCATACATAGTGTCATTCCATGTGATGTGTCACCTGCATTGTATCATCAAGATAAAGAGTAAATACTATGTTCCTAAGGTGAAACTAAAAATAAAACAGTGTTAGGACTTCACTGACCTTTTTATTATAAGCCAAATGCTAAGCAAGTGAATGACCAGCTTTGGCACAGACAGAAGCTACCGTCTCTTATCTACCCCTGCTGGAGTTGTCAGATCTGAAGGGTGGTGCTATTCCCATTTTAAAATAGTATTGGTACTTCAGTTTCCTATTTGGGAGCTCTATTCTGAACCCACTCATGCTTAGAATGAAGCTTGACAACCTGTCTGGCCATCCTCAGCCCCTCAACACTGGTCAGAGTACTTTTAAACCAGGCAGACCCTGGAACAGCATTCTTGACACTCACCTGGCTCTGAGCACTATGACTACCAGGTGAACCCTCTTCTCTTCTGACAAATGGATTGCTCTTGGCTTCTCTTGTATGTCAAGGTCAGCTTAAACTTCATCTGTGTTTGTCATACATGCCCCTTTGTAATTATGATTTTGGACGGCTGGCTGCTTACATGTCAGGGATCAATCATAAGCTAGCTTAGTCTGTACACCCTAGGCCCTCCTCTTCTCAGTTTCTTCTCTTCACCTCCAGTCCAGCATGGGGGAAAAGCCTACCTAGAATATCTCTATTTCCTCATCCAGATCCTGCTTAGCATTCAAAAATCCACTTTTAGGAGGGCATTTTAATAGGCAAAAAAGAGTTAAACATAGGTATGATGATGGTTATTCACTCAGAGAAGACATTCTATTATGTTTTTAATATGTTAATAATAATACTAACACAACAATAGCAATTCATGCTAGCAAATCACAAGTGCTACATGACTTACATGCACTGTCTCATTTATTCTTTACAAGAGCCTTATGCTGTGAGTATGCATGTTTTCTTTGTTTTATAGTGGAAGAGCCGGTAGACTAAGTCCCTCAGTCTAAGCCATAAGCCAGTAAGTGATGGAGTCAGGGCTTGACTCTAATTTTATTTAGATTCTGTTACCTAAATGAGCTCTTTACCTCTATGCTGTAATACTGCCCTAAATAAACAAATGGAGTAGAGCCCTAGCAAGACATGAAGTTGGCTGGTGAAACAGAACCATTTAAATCCCAGCCTGCGAAGCTCGTATTTGATCCCATAGGCAACAGGAAGTTACCACAGATTTTTGAACCTGGAGTTAATGTGGTAAAATTCACTTTAGAAAAATTGACTGGATATTCATGAGTAGGAAAGACAAGCACACGAAATCTAGAGGATGGAGACCATCTGAAAGTCTGTTACAAAAAGACACAGAGAATCATAAAGCCACATATTGAAAGACGTTAAAAGAAGCCAAATAAATGGAGAAATATACAGTGTTCTTAAATGCTTATAAACAAAAAGACTCAGTGTTTTAAAGTTGTCATTCCTTCCCTAATTAGTCTATAGAATCAATGACATTTCAATCAATAGCCCAACAGGGTTTTGTTGTTGTTGTTGTTGTTGTTTCTTTTAAAATGGATCTTGACGGACAAATTCTAAAATAAATATGACAATCTAGGGCCAAGAAAAATCAAACGCTGCTGAAGAACATCAGCTAGCTGGAGGATCTTGTCCTATAACAGATCATGACTTATAAATATATAGTAATTAAGATAGTGTGGTATCTGTGTATGGCAAAACAAAAAGGCTCATGGCAGAGAATAGAGAGTTCAGCAATAAACCTAAGCACTTATAGAAACTTGATATAGTATGGAGCTGGCATTTCAGATCATTTGAAAGAGGTGGAACTATTCAATAAACGGTGCTGGAAAAATTGCTTAAATGAGAAATTGGACTTCTAGCTCACACTATACATATAAAATTCTATTTTAGAGGAATTAAAGACTTAAATGTGAAAAACAGTGTTTTAAGCTTTCAGAAGAAAATGTAGGAGAAACTTTTATCACCTTGTGGTATGGAATAATTTATTAAATCAAATATCATATTTGTAAAACAAAGCATTACATATTAAAGAATAGAATTACATGTTCGATGATATTAAAATTATGAACTTCTATTCCTCAAAGAGTCCACAAAGAAAGTAAAAGAAGAGACTATAACTGGGCAACAGCTGCTAGCTACTGTATTACCAACAAAGTATTAACATCTCAAATACAAGTTACTAAAATTGGTAAGAAAATAACTATCCAGATAGTAAAGGGGCACAAGAGTAAAGTAGATGTTTTACAAAAGAAGATACCTATCAAAAACCTATGAATAAACCTATGAAAAAATGAGTGTTTAACCTCATCAATAATCTGAAAAAGCAAATTACAACTATAGTGAGATATTATTTTATACCTACTAATTTGACAAAAAATTAAGAAGTATGATGGTAGTAAGAGGGAATGAGTATTAACACATTATTGGAGGAAGGGGCACAATCTCTTTGAAAAAATAATTCCATATTATATTGTAAAGGTAGGTATATTCTATGACCCAGCAATTATACTCATAGAAATATATCTTACAGAAGTGCTTTTCAAATTTAAATGTGCATATGAATCATTTAGTAATCTTGATAAAATGCAGATTTACATTCAGTAATCTGAAGAAGGATTAAGTTTATAAAGTCCATAATAGGACACATTATAGAGAAACTGCAAAACACCCTATATTCATTCATTCAACAAATATTTATGGAGCTGGACACTTGCTATGTGCCAGGCAACTTTATAGCATTAAGGATACAATAATGAAAAGACAGAAGGAAGAAACAAAACAAAACTGTGCCTGCACAGAATTTACATTCTAAGGGGCAGAAGGAGGGAGGAGCAATAAGGCAGTGAATAAATAAATAATTAAAATATATATGTTATCTGATGGTGACAAATGCTGTACAAAATCTTTAGCAGATAAAAGAGGTAGGGAATGCTGGAAGTAGTTGTAATTCTAAATATGGCTGTCTGGGAAAGTCTTCCTGAGAATCTGAAAATCAAGAAGACCCAATGAGGGAGTGAGCCATGTGATTATCTGAGGGACAAATGTAATGCAAAAACCCAAGGCATAAATATGCTTCATGTGCTGGATGAATAGCAAGGACATCAGTGTGGCTAGATCAAGTGATTAAGGTAAAAAGTAATAAGGGATTAAATCAGGCAGGTAGAGGATGCCAGATCATGTAAATGCCTTCCAAGCCATTGAATTTAATTTGGCTTTTACTCAGAGCAAAGGGCAAAAATCTTTGGAGGCTTTTAAGCAGGTAAGTGTTGTAATCTGATTGACAGATAATAGCATCTTTCTGGTTACTATGTTGAGAATAGACTAATTGGAGAGAAGCCAAGTATAAAAGCAGGGAGAACAAGAAATACATTGTAGTAAGCCAATCAAAAGAAAATGATAGCTTAGAGCAGTGGGAGTGGTAAGAGGTGATTGAATTTTATATAAATTTTGAATATAGAACTGAATTTTCTGAGGAACTAAATGTGATGTCTAAGCAAAGTGATTACTTTTTGTTCTAAGATAATGGAAAAATAGTGATATTATTTACTGAGTTGGGGAAAACTGCCAGAGGAACATGTTTAGGTAAAGTGGTGAAAATCATGAGATCAGATTTGAATGTGTTACTTTTGAAACATTTTAAGAAGAGCTGCTCAGTAGACAGTTGGGTATGCCAGTCTGGAACTAGGGATAGAGGTCTGGATTGGAGATATAATTTTGGGAGTCATCGTTATGTAAGTACTATTTATAGCTATGGCTGAGATATCTAAAATAGGGAGTGAAAAGAGAAGGGGTCTAAAGTCTGAGCCCAGAATTTCCAATGTTTACAATAAATATCTTCAAGGCACACAGAAAAAAAAGACAAATTACCTATAAATAACAAACAATAAGATGTACAGCTGACTTCACATGAGCAACAGTGAAAGCCAGAAGAAATGGAGGGATGTCTTTAAAGGGCTGCAAAAAAGAAAGCAAAACTACGTTTTTAGAATTAAGGTGAAATAAAGGCATTTTCAGGAAAAGCTGAGAGAATTTACCATCAATAGATCATGCTTAAGTAAATGTCTAAAGAATGCATTTCAAAAAGTAAAGAATTGTTTCTCACAAAGAAAATCTGAAACGAAGGAACAATAGGCTGATTGGGGAATAAAGGAATATCCCAGTTTGGCTGGCAGGCATTCCAACAGTAATACTTCAGACAACAACTTATTTGGGTGGGATTGGTAATCTTTTATCAGGTATAGGACTTGTGAATTTCTACAAGCTAAGCTGCTGAAAATGTAGACTTATAATTGATCTTGAAATTAATCCTCTCTTACAGTTACCTGCTATCTTCAATATGATAAGCAAAATGTTTATGCTTCTTTTAAGTGTTATTACTCATTAGCTTTATTTAAATAAGTTAATACAATTTATAGTTATTTGCGATGAATTTATGGGTAGTCTAAAAATAAAAATTTTAAGGTAAAATGTTAACTAATGAGCTATCTTTCCTATTGCTTGTCTATAGGAAAATTATTTTCTGTAATAAGCTGTGTACCTATTCCAAAGTAAAGATTTGGAAAACATTTATGGGACAATAAAGAAGAAAAGGCCAGTAGTCATCCATACATAAACATTTAGATGGACTAGATAATTATTTACCATTTTGGAAATACAATATTTTGGTTAACCACTTAAATAGGTCATAAGAGCCACATTAAGTTCCTGAAAAAATTGCTGATGGATTAATAAATTAATTTAATTATTTTGACCAGTGAAGAAAAGTTTACTAGTGAAATACCTTATGTTAACCAGATGGAAGAAGAAAAACTATTTTAAGTTATACCCAACAAGCATTTAATAAACTTCAACATTCCTTCTATTTTTGAAAGAAATGTTCTTAGAAAACTAGAAATAGAAAAAAAGTTAAGGTACACTAAAAATCTATAATAAGAATTATGCTTAGTGGTGCCACATTCAAAGCATTTCATTGTTAGAAACAATGTCAAGATGTCTTGTATCACAGAGTTACTGCTTGCTGCTATACTAGAGGGCTAATAAAGTGTAATACCAAAATAAAAATAGACATTAGATACAATTATTATCAAGAAAGACACAAAACATTGTTATTTACATAACATGCATAACAGCCTATGTAGAATTTTCGAGAAAACCAATAAAAATTATTAGAACTTCCTAGGGAGATTAGGAAGGGGTGGGGTTCAAAATATAAAAATCAACAGCTTATTAAAATACCAGCAATGATCAACTAAAAATGTATTCAAAACATTGTGTTTATTATTACAAAAATTGTGAAATGCCTAGGAATAAACCCAATAAGGAATATTCAAGGTATTTACAGAAAATGAATTAAAATTTCCTGAAGAGTGTAAAAGAAAACCTGACATATCAAAAAATAAGTAAACATATACAATATTTGAGCATGGAAAGACTCAGGATTTTTAAGATGTCACTTCTCTCTGGTTACATTATGAATTCAATACAATCCCAATCAAAATCTTGAAAGGAAATTTCATGGAATTTTACCTGCTGATTATAAAGTTCATATGAAAGAGTAAATGTGCAATGATAGCCAACCAAGCAAATTAAAAAATAAGCAAACAAAATCAACCAATATGGTGATCATGCCCCACAAGGAATCAAATTATTAATAAATCTACAGTAATATATAATATCAGAGTAGGAAAAGTCCAATAAGATGAATAGGACAGGATTGAGAATCCAGGAATGAGCCCATGTATAAGAGACTCTAACTATACATCGTGGCAAAAACAATAAAGTTATACCGATAGCTAATGCTATTAACCCAAAAGTAATCTAGATGGATTAAAGTAATAACTATGAAAAACAAAACTATAATATATTAGAAAAAAATATAGGAGGATTTATTTATGACTGTGGTGAATATGGTTTTCTCAAAGTAAATTTAGAAATGCATAAAGTATAAAATATAAAAGCTATTTTATAGTCAACAAACTATGGAACTTTTGAAGTACACAAAAAAGCCCACAACAATTCAACATATTATCAAACTTCTGAATAACAAAAGACCATCAAAACACATATAAAGGACAGCGATAACTAGGAAAAAGTATATGCAGCATACTTTTTTTACTAAGGGCAAATGAACAATATTCAGAATTTATAAAGAACCAATGATAATAAATAAGGAAAAGATAAACAGTCCAATTGAAAAATAGGCAAAAGGTATGAAAATAATTCACAGAAGAGGAGTTATAAATAGACTATAAACCTACAAGATGACTTTACTTCTTCTGGTAATCAAGGAAATGTAATCAACAGCAATTACATTTATTTACCTCCTTGGAACATTTTTTATGTTTGATAAACCCTCTCTATTTCACTACAAAGTAATACTGTACTGCAGTCAAAAACAATGTAATAAATCTGTGCATATGGATACAAAATCTTTCCAAGAAAACTGTTAAGAAAACTTCCTAATAGCATACACATTATGTTAACATCTGTATAAAATTTATTTTTATACACATTATATAAATATGTAGAAACACTTAACTGAGTTCCAAGGAATTCGAGTCTGAGATGGTGATTCTGGCTCAAGTGATTTATTGGGAAAGTGCTTTCATGACAAGGGGCACAAGAGAAGAGGGCAGGACAAGGGAAGATTGCTAAGCAAGAACGTGGTCTGAGCTGGAGACCTGCTGAGTCTGATCTTGTAGGGGTGATCTGGAGCACAAATTGCACCGGAGTGGGTCCTGCCTTGAGGCCATTTTGTATCCCTGTGTCAGCCCATTATTGACCAAGTGTGTCCTGCCTCCTTCTCCCAGGAGAGCAAGGGAGTAGTCACAGCTCCCTCTTGCCAGGGGCAATTCTCCAGGGAAAGGGGAAGTGCCAAGAGTCTAGGAGCAGTAGAAAAAGGAATCTGGAAAGGGCAGCAAAAGCATCTGTTGCACACACACACACACACACACACACACACACAGACACCTCTCCTACCCTGCGCACATGCACACACATATGCACACACACACTTACATACATATGTGCACCTGAACATGCACACAAGCACACACTTGAGGGGGCTAAAGACTCAAGGGATTCACACAAAAGTAGTAAAATGGTTATTTACAAGGACAAGCCTGAGATTGAGTGGAGGGGTTGCTGTCAAGGTAGGCTTTTAGCTTTATATTTGATTGTTTGAGAATCACAATGTTATGTTCTTATGTAATTAGAAAATATGCTTTTTAAGAAAAAGCATTTTACTTCCCTACTTACCTCCTAGGAAACTCCATTATACCACCCCATTGTCTTCCAGTTTTATTTGTATATTTATTACAAATAAAAGTTATTAAAGGGAACCATGATGAAATGCCAGTGAGCTTTTTTTATTCTTGTATTTCATAAGTCAGGAGAATTACAGAGCAGTCTTAGGCAGATGTAATTTCAATTTTCTATATAAGAATAATGTAACCATTCACAGGTCAGTTTGTAAAATATGTGAAACACATACAATATTTTCTAAAACAGAAATCCAATGAATATACAATGTTCATCCTTCCAGTACTCAGTAACTTCAGTTAGAGGTTTCTATTCTTTTGAATGACTTGGTGACAATATCAAATTGACACTTGCCAATTAGTATCCTTTTCTGCTAAAACACGGAAGGGAATCTGATACTTATTCTCTACTTTCTGATATGTATGCCATGAAAATGTATTGCTCTGCTCTCTTATTTGTTTAGCCTTCTCATCTGCTAATAACTAATGTAAACAGGCAGGGCCCCTCTTAGCTTATCCATCTAACTCTTAGATGTCATCTCATGCAATGCCATGGTATCAGATACCATGTAGGGACCAGTGAGTCCTATTTTAGGGACTCTATATTCAACTGCCTAGTTGACCTTTCAACCTGGATGTCTTCATTTAGCATCTCAAACTAAAGAGAATTCTGGATTCTCTGTCCACCCTCACCTTCTGCACACCCCTTCCTCATTCCCAGCTCAGTCAAAGTCATCATTATTTATTAATTGCTTAAGCCAACAATCTAGGCAATTCTTGCTTTCCTTCTTTTCATTATTACTGCGTGACATGGTTTGGCTCTGTCCTCACCCAAATCTCATCTTGAATTGTAGCTCCCACAATCCCCACATGTTGTGGGGAGGAGCCAGTGGGAGGTAACTGAATCACGGGGGCAGGTTTTTTCCATGCTGTTCTCGTGTTGGTAAATAAGTCTCAAGAGATCTGATGGTTTCATAAAGGGCAGTTCCCCTGCAAATGTTCTCTTGCCTGTCGCCACATAAGACATGCCTTTGCTCCTCTTTCGCCTTCTGCCATGGTTGTAAGGCTCCCCAGCCATGTGAAACTGTGAGTCCATTAAATCTCTTTTTCTTTATAAATTATCCAGTCTCGGGTATTTCTTTACAGCAGTATGAAAATGGATTAATAAGTAAATTGGTAGTAGTAGAGTAGGGTACTGCTATTAAGATACCCAAAAATGTGGAAGTGACTTTGGAACTGGATAACAGGCAGAGGTGGGAACAGTTTGGAGGGCTCCAAAGAAGACAGGAAGATGTGGGGAAGTTTGGGGCTTTTTAGAGACTTGTTGAATGGTTTTGGCCAAAATGCTGGTAGTGATATGGACAATGAAGTCCAGGCTGAGGTGGTCTCAGATGGAGATGAGGAATTTATTGGGAACCGGAGCAAAGGTGATTCTTGCTATGCTTTAGTAAAGAGACTGGTGGCATTTTGCCTTGCCCTAGAGATCTGTGGAACTTTGAACTTGTAAGAGGTTATTTAGGGTATCTGGCAGAAGAAATTTCTAATCAGCAAAGCATCCAATATGTGTGCTCTTAAAATCATTAGATTTTATGCATAAACAAATATATAGTTTGGAATTGGAACTTATGTTTAAAAGGGAAGCAGAGCATAAAAGTTCAGAAAATTTGCAGCCTGACAATGTGATAGAAAAGAAAAACCCATTTTCTGAGGAGAAATTCAAGCTGGCTGCAGAAATTTTCATAAGTAACAAGTATCCAAATGTTAATCACCAAGACAATGGGAAAAATGTCTCCAGGGCATGTCAGAGACCTTCACGGCAGCCCCTCCCATCATAAGCCAGGAGGCCTAGGTGGAAAAAATTGTTTCATGGGCTAGGCCCAGGGCCTTGCTGCTTTGTGTAGTCTCGGGACTTGGTGCCCTGTGTCCCAGCCGTGGCTAAAAGGGGCCAACCTACAGCTTAGGCTGTTGCTTCAGAGGGTGCAATCCCAAAACCTTGGCAGCTTTCATATGGTGTTGGGCCTGCAGATGCACAGAAGACAAGAATTGAGGTTTGGAATATCTGCCTAGATTTCAGAGGATGTATGGAAATGTCTGGATGTCCAGGCAGAAGTTTTCTGCAGGGGCAGAGCCCTCATGGAGAACCTCTGCTAGGGCAGTGTGGAAGGAAAATGTGTGGTTGGAGCTCCCACACAGAGTCCCCACAGGGGCACTGCCTAGTGGAGCTGTGAGAAGAGGGCCACCATCCTCCAGACCCCAGAATGGTAGATCCACCGACAGCTTGCACAATGTGCCTGGGAAAGCTGCAGGCACTCAATGCCAGCCCATGAAAGCAGTTAGGAGAGGGGGCTATACCCTGCAAAGCCGCAGAAGCAGAGCTCCCCAAGGTCATGAGTGCCTACCTCTTGCATAAGCATGACCTGGATGTGAGACATGGAGTCAAAGGAGATCATTTTGGAACTTTAAAGTTTAATGACTGCCCTGTTGGATTTTGGACTTGCATGGGGCCTGTAGCTCCTTTGCTTTGGCCAATTTCTCCCATTTAAAATGGGCCTATTTTCCCAATGACTGCACCCCCATTGTATCTAGGAAGTAGCTAACTTGCTTTTGATTTTTGCAGGCTCATAGGCAGAAGGGACTTGCCTTGTCTCAGATGAGACTTTGAACTTGGACTTTTGAGAATTCTGGAATGAATTAAGACTTTGGGGGACTGTTGGAAGGGCATAATTGTGTTTTGAAATGTGAAGACATGAGATTTGGGAGGAGCCAGAAATGGAATTATATGGTTTGGCTGTTTCCCCACCCAAATCTCATCTGGAATTATAGCTCCCATAATCCACATTTGTCATGGGAGGGACCTGGTAGGAGGTAATTGAATCATGGGGGCAGGTTTTTCCCATGCGATTCTCATAATAGTGAATAAGTCTCATGAGATCTGATGGTTTCATAAAGGGCAGCTCCCTGCACATGCTCTCTTGCATGCTGCCATGTAAGACATGGCTTTGCTCTTCCTTCGCCTTCCACCATGATTGTGAGGCCTCCCCAGCCATGTGAAACTGTGAGTCCATTAAATCTCTTTTTCTTTATAAATCACCAAGTCTCAGGTATTTCTTCATAGCAATATGAAAGTGGACTAATGTGCTTCACAACAGATTCATTAGCAAATCTTGACTATACCTGCAAAACAACTTCTTAATCTATTTTTCTCTGTCTCCATTAACACTGCCCTCATCCAAATAACAAAATCTTTCTCATGCACTATTGCAATAAAGTAATTACTCTCCCTGCTTTGTTTTTTTTACTCTGTATTACACACACAATAGCTAGCAAATTTAAAATAATGCAAATCAGAATATTTAATTTTCCTGGCTAAAACTCTGAATATTTAGAATAAAATTTACATGCCTAACAGTGGGTTCCAAAGACCCTAAGAACTTTTTTCTTTTTTCTGCTATCCCCCCATCTCATTTCATATACTCCTCTCTCTCTTTTTTTTGGGGGGGGGCTTAAGGAGTGGAGAGTTTAATAGGCAAGAAGGGAGAAGGCAGAAGGAAGAAGCTCCCCCGTACAGTGACAGAGAGAGGAGGGATCCAAAGCCGAGAGAGGGAACCCGGCATATACTACTCTCTCACTAAGCTCTGGCCACACAGGGCTTCTACTGGTTCCTTTGTAAGTGCCAACTCAGTTTACTAAGAAGTCCTTTGTCATTCAGATCTCTGTCTAGATATCACCGTAGAGAGGTATTCTCTGACCACCCAATTCAATATAGCCATTTTGTTCCTTTGTATTATATTATCCTATTTTAGTTTTTTAAATCATATTTGTCACCTCTGATATTTTTCTTGTTACCGTCTCATCTCATTCAAATTTAAGCAGAGACCTTTCACAGAGCAGGGACCTTGTATAATTTATGTGTGTGTGTGTGTGTGTGTGTGTGTATGAGAATATGTGAGAATAGTATATATATAATGGATTCTGGCACATAATAGGCTCTTGATACACATTAGTTAAAGAAATGGGTGAATAAATGCATGCAAGCATGGCCAGTTCTGTAAAAGGCATGTTGGAGATACATGGTAAATATGAAAATGTTCTCTGTCACATATGGAGCTTCCAATCTGCCTGGTGGCCCAAACAACAGAGCATTGTATGACTAAGCAGTATCCTATGTGGTATTGACGGGAGTTCAGAGAAGTGTGTGGGAAATGCAAGAGACCTAAGCTCTGGGCCTGAGTTCCAGTATTTGCATACTGCTCCATTATGCAAATCATTTAACCAAATGTATAGAATTTCCATACCCAACAATGTGGTTGCAGGAGGAGTTGAATGGTGCTAAAACTGTCTGGTGATAGTTTACGCTTCAACAGCCAATCCAAACAACTTTTTTCCAATACGTTTGCATTCAAGTATGTTTTCAACAGAAATATTTTGAGTGGGTTTTAAGTTTTATACAAACTTGGTAAATAATTGGGCAAACTTCTGTCCTTCCTAAACAAGCCTGTGTAGGATGACCTTAAGGGTTTTTTTTTTACATTAATTTATAGGCACAGTAAGAGACCAGTGAGAGAGAACTTGGTGATGCCAATATTCTGAAGGATATTTGAATATTTTTGTTTTTTCACTTAATTGGGTTATTTTTTAATCTTAATTGATTACATTACTTTGGCTTTTTGAAGCTTAATTCTTGTTGAAAACTAACTCTTTTTGGAATCTTTTATTACGCATTTACTTAATAGACTATTAGAGTTAAAGCCTTAGTGGTGTGTTGAGCTAATTAATACTTCTGTCATTTGCCCATGTGGAAATTGTGTTCACTTCCCAGGGAGATCCTCCTATTATCACGATAGATATAACAGTGAACATATTAATTAAGTGAATACCCCCAAAGATTAAAAATAATTGTTTTAATTTTATAGTTTCTTGTTGAAAAGTGAGGAAAAAAGGTTTAAAGAATCTGCCTAGGAGAAACAGGTGTGTGAGGCAAACATGGGAAGGGGAAACTTAGCATTCTTTATCTTCTTTCTTCTGGAGCAATCCTATCACAGCAAACACTTCAAGAATTTACTGCTATTGCTTTTCAGATAAATGACTTGGGGTGTGAAAAACAGCACATCCGCCCTGTGGTTGAGCATTGTTTTCTGTGAGTAGCTTAGCTTTGAAATTCTCTGTAGTGGTGGGCTGGTGGTACTCCCCTGGCCTCTCCTGGAGATTCCTTTCTAACTTAGTTACTTTCAGTTTACTGAAAGACCCTAAGATGACCTGAGGAAAGCTCTGTTGTTTTTTTTCATTTCCTGACACCACACTGCAGTGAACACATCTTCAAAAAATAGATTTCTGCATGTGAAAATATACTCATATCCTATTTTATCAAGAAAGCAGCATCTTAGTTTATTGGATTCATGACTTAATATCATAACACCCCAAATAATAGAGACCACCTGACCCACATTTTTAAATAACTAGTATTTTTCCCCCTAACATCAACTTTTAGGGGAAGAGGAGAGTACCAACTGTTTCAGGAATACATTTAGTTACTTTTAAAGTGTTATGTTATAAAACAAAAAAAATTAATTTTTAGAAGTATGACTCTAAACATAACTCCTTTTGTTTATACTTAGATGAAAATTAAAATATTGCTTTATTAATATTAGCAAAATCCCTGTAACCCCTAAGATGGATAGATTCTTGTAACCAACTAAGGCCCTTAAAAAGTTGTATTTAATATATACTTTCTTTCACCCAAATTGAAGAAAATAGGCCTGAAGTTCAAACTATTTCATTTATTCAACTAGTTACCAGATAAAAAGGATGGTGGCCTCTTCCCATGGCTTCTAATCAGGAAAGGCCCTGACCAACTATGTAGAAACCTAAAGAGGACTTATTGCCTCAGAGCAGAAAGAGAACCCCCAACAAATGGACAGTGACCTAAACCCTCCAGTAAATTATGCAGAAATGAATATTAGGCTCCAACTGGTTACAGTGTGAAAGGCAGGATTCCTTGGTGGTAGAGGAGAGAGGTATTACACACAAAATTCCGCCAAGTGCAAAAGGAAGAGACAGGTTGCCATTTATGACTGCACAAGTTGTATTCTGTACCACTATAAGGTGTAGAAGGGTTCCGTTGTTAAGGAACGGTATCAATATGTCCCTGAGGGTTGTGTAGCAACAGTAGAGAGTCATAAAGATTTCTTAGGACATATGTAGAAACTAACTCACTGTATTACACTGCCCAAGTCATTTAATCGCTATTAGCCCCAATTTCCTTGGTCAGAGATTACTTTTTACCCACCCAATAATCATTCTTGCCTACTTCCTTAGCTTTGAGCCCCTATATTGACAGAAATAGATTTGTGTCCAGATTAAAACAACAAACAAACAAACAAAACAAAACAAACGAAGTGCACTCCCCAGGCTTCCTTGCAGATAGAAGTGGCCAATGGGAAATCTCTAAATAAAAATGACTCAGCTGGGAAATAGTCTTTCTCTTTTAGCCCTCCTCTTACCCAGAACAAGATTGTAGTAGCTAGAACTCCTGCAATTGTAAGGTGACCTTGAAGTCACCTTGAGGATGGAAACCACCCAAGAAAAATGATGAAGTGGAGAGAAAAGGAGGGTGGGTCTCTGATGTTGATGAACCTACCATAACAGCTCGCACTCCTCCGCTCCCTTCTCACATGAGATAAAATACAACCCTATTTTGATTAAGCTACTGTTGGTTAAGTATATGTATCCACCCTAATCATAATCAATGGATACATCATCTGTAATGATATTTGTGTGGATGAAAAGAAATAAAAGAGGACTTATTGGGAAACATGTTGTGAACAATAAAATGCTATATTAATGTAATGGTTTTGTGAGATTCTGGGCTCAAGTAGTGTCACTTGGAGGTGCTAATGAAAACGACAGGCACATTTTCAAAATGATGTGCAATGGGTTATTCCCTCCCTCCCCTCATTCTGCCTCAGGCCATAGTGCAGCTTCCTGAGAGCACAGAATGGTCACTCCCTGAGCATGGCTCTGTCTGGCCTGGCAGGATTCAGCCAGAGTCAGCCAGGAGAATCAGCCAGGAGAAACTTGACAGGAGCTGGAGAGAGAACAAGTTTATCAGAAGACCGGTCCTGAGAACTGGGAGACTCCTTCCTCCACGGCTTCCTGGAGTAAGAGTTGGAGCACTAGTCAGTGACCGGGGAAGGACTTGAAGCAGCACTGATGGGACTCAGAGCCATTAAGACTTTTATACATGACACAGAGGGTTTCTTGGACATTTGGGTACAACTAATTCATTCATTTGATAAATGATATGCAAAAATGATGCAAGCTTATCCAACCTGCCCTATTTCATTGTTCTTCTGTTTTGTTTTGTTTTAGGCTTTCAGCAGCCTGAAGCCATAGTTTTTAGTTTCTGTCTCTAGTGATAAGCGAAAAAGAGGGAGGAGGAAGGGGATTTACTGGCCCAACCAGAAACAGAAACTAAGAACCCATGACTGTGTTCTCTCCCTTGGATACTCCTGGAAGTGATAAAAAGAGAAAGACTTATATTTTCCTGGAGATCCCAAGGAAGCCATGCTCATCTTTGTTCCTCAATGCTGGCCAAAAATTTCGCCTCCCCTTGAAACAGGGGAAAGAGGGTGCATTTGTATGATAGAACCCTTGTCCTAACACATTGCTGAGAATAGGAAATCAGGACACCCTAGAGGCAATTACATAAATCTTCTGCAATATCCTCAACAAGTCACCGTCTAATCTCTGCCTGTACACCAACAGTGATGCAGAACGTACTAACTCCCCAAAGAGACCAATCTACTTTTGAACATCTTTCTTTTCTCCTTATGATAAAGAGAAACTTATAAAGTCTTCTACTGAGAATGAAGCTTCAAGTAAAGAAAAGAAAAATACAACACAAACCTTGGATTTCAGAATCAGATTTGGGACAAATGACTAGCTTTATCTTTCCAATAGCTATGTGACTTTGTGAATTTATTTAACTTTTCTGAGCCTGTACTATAAAGGGAAATAATGATTGCCAACTCCTGAAATTGTTAAGAATGATGATAATGAAAATAATAGCTAACTCTTACTGGCTATATTACTGTTTGTCAGGTCTATACATTGTTTCACATACTTCTAACAAGAACCCCATAAAGTGGATACCAATGTTATCCCCACTTTTCAGTTGAAGAAACAGAGGCAAAGAGGCTTAGAAACTTGCTGATGGCCACACAGTTGCACTTAACCACTCTTCTAGACAGGCTTTTTATAAAAGAGAGTTCCTATCAAGGTCCAGCTAGTCCTGATCCTGCTTAGCTCCAGTGTTCAGAAAAGACCAGGTATTTTAAGGAGATAAGGTGATAGAAAATGAATAAGCTAATAGACGTGACAGAGCTTCACACATCAACACTACCACAGAGCTTGACATATCGATACATTTGAATTCATTTTACCTTCCATCTTCTTCAGCTTAAGAAGCCACAATTCTGCTAACAATTCTCAGTAAGAATTGTTTGAAATTTCCTCTCAATCCAGATTTTTTTCTCTACTTGTGTTATTTGTTTATATCCATGAAGTACCTATACTGAACTTAACACCCTGGGTCTAATCTGACCAGCCTCAATATGAATCCATCATCTCCCTTGTTTTTCATGTGTGGTTTTTTGTTTTTTTGTGTTTTTTTTTGGTAGAGTCTCCCTCTGTTGCCCAAGCTGGAGTGCAGTGCCCTGATCTCAGCTCACTGCAACCTCCGCCTCCAGTGTTCAAGTGAGTCTCCTACCTCAGCCTCCCAAGTATCTGGGATTACAGGCGCCCGCCACCATGCCTGGTTAACTTTTTTGTATTTTTAGTAGAGACAGGGTTTTACCATGTTGGCCAGGCTGGTTTCGAACTCCTGACCTCAAGTGATCCACCCGCCTCAGCCTCCCAAAGTGCTGGGATAGCAGGTGTGAGCCACCACGCTCAGTCCATCTTCCTTGTTTTGAATGTGAATATTCTCAATGTCATCCAAAATCACTTTAGCTTCGAGGGTAGCCACTGTTATACCTTTGGTTCATAAGCTTTATCTCTTGCCTGCCTGGCACTGCTTCCTTCTTAAACCAAAGTATCCTGTCTTAACATGTATTGGTACAATTCTCTTAGAAAGCCAGTTGATAATATAAAAAAGTACCTTAAAGATGTATATCCCTTTGGCTACTATCAAAAGATGAGAGATAACAAGTGTTGGTGAGGATATGGAGAAAAGGAAACTGTTGATGGGCGTGTAGATTGGTGCAGTCATGAAAAATAGTACATAGGTTGCCACATAAATTAAAATTAGAACTACCATATGACCCAGCAATTTTCTTCTGGGTATGCATTCAAAAGAAATAAAATCACCACCTTGTAAAAATATCTGCATTTTCATGGTCACTGCAACATTATACACAATAAATATCTGTCCACTGAGGGACAAATGAATAAACTGTGATGTATGGGTGTGTGTGTGTACAATATTATTCAGTCTTAAAAGAGGAAATCCTGCCATTTACTACAACATGAATGAACTTGGAAGACATTATGCTAGGTGAAACAAGCCAGGCACAGAAATAAAAAAAAATTATATAATCTCACTTATATGTGAAACCTAAATTTTTAAAAAAGTCAAACACACAGAGATAGAGAATAAAACAGCGATTACCAAGGACTGGGGGCTTGGGGCCATGGGAGATGTAGGTCAAAGTATTCAAAGTAGCAGATGCAGAGGATAAGCAAGTCTAGAGATCTAATGTACAACATAAGGACTGTAGTTAATAATATTGTTTTGTATTCAGGATTTTTGTTTACTGAGTAGATTTTAGCTGGTGTTGCTGCAAAAATAAGGGTAACTATGTGATATGATGTATATGTTAACTTTCTTTACTATAGTAACCATTTTTCTACTTATATGTATCCTATACCTTCATGTTGCATACCTTAAATATACATGATAAAACTTATTTTTATAATGTATATCTTTTGATACACATTCTGAGAAAATATGATTGGGAGCTTTCCTAAATGCTGAAAAAAGTTTACAGTCAAAATATCCATTATTTGCATAGCAACAATTAGGAAATAGCCTACATGTCCAAATACCAGGGGACTCTAGTAGAGCTACGGGGAGTGTAGCAACTGAGAGTTCAAGAGTAAGAATCTCTGGACTTGCTTCCAATTGCTCCCCTTAATGTTCATGACTAAACACACACACACACACACACACACACACACGGCCATGAACAGGTAACCCTGATGTTATGAATACTTGGCCTGGACCACCTGGAGGGAAGGAAGGCATCTCCCGCATGTCTCCCCAGTGAAGAATCTTCCCCAAGTTTGCACATTCCTGTCCAGGTGCACTGCAGTTTACTTTTCTGGTTTTACTTTAGTAGATAAGATTACTGAGTGGAGGTGGGGAGGACAGTCTGGGAAGGGAAATAGAGTTAGAACACAGAGTAGCTCCGTGACAGGAGGATTTCAGGTATTACACCATGAAGCCAATAACTACTGTAGCAGTGTCAGGGAGAAATTTCTCATAAACTCCCTCATTTCATTTTTATCACTTGTAACAAGATACATTTTACCAAGAAAATACAAAATGGTTGTTAAGTTTTCAAGCTAGCCTTCATTTCACTCTGGAAAGTTTTGCAACATTTGCTATTACTTGACTCTTTCGAGAATTGCAGCAAATAATTTTATAGAAGAAAATGCTTCATTAATAGAAAAGGAAGTGTGAATCTATATTAAATTGTCTCTTAAGGATTTTCTAACTAGGTGTCCCTCAGATATGTAATATCTAGATAAAACATTGAGAGAGAGGCACTGGAGACCTTGGAGAACAAGAAGTGAAAGTTACCATATGTAAGAAATGGTAAGGGAGGCAGCTGAAAAGGGATATAAATTAATTTCGGTTACCTTATGGGGGAAAATCAAGAAGATATTTCTGCTCTCAAAGCATCATGATTACTCCTAAGTAACTGCAACTAACTTTTCAGAGCCCCAGTTATGTGCCAAGCTCTGTCCTAAGTGGTGTTCACATAAATGAACTAATTTAGCTATTGCCTCCTTCCTATGAGGTGGATAGTGTCATTATCTTTGCCACAACCCCAAAGGTCACATCGAATTTTTCATCCTCGGTAGAGACATCACTGACTGAGTCTACAGAGCCTCTTTACCTGCCCCTTGGCTCCTTCCCACCATGCTGGTAAAGCAGGACAGAGTTGCTCCAATGAAAATCTCTCATTTTAAAGATTATTCTAATAACAATAGGGAAAAGTCAAAGGCTAAGAAAAATAATGTGAGGTAATTAAAAAGGCTTATGAAGGCTTGAAAAGCTTCCCTCAGTCATATGTCCTGCTCTAATAGGTCCCAAGAGTCTAAAAGAGCTATAGTACTTTGCTCTTTGATTTGATGCCGGAGGCTGGAGGTATCTAAACTGCCTCTGGTTACAGTAGTGTTTAGGAATTCTCAGGGGCAATAAAAGCACAGTGTCCCTTTGTCACAAGAAGAAACTTTCACTTCTGGAAACCTCCAAACTATACCCATTTTACTGAGTGCCCTTTTCACAGAATAATGGACCTGTTTGGGTATTTCCTTATGTTAAGAGAGTTTTTGTGTGGGCTACCCAGGAACAAAATTAACATTTATATAATGCTCTTCCTTTAGAGCAAACATTTTGATGTCTAAAAAATCAACTCTCAAATGAGTGTTTAGAATTCAGATGCCTAAGTCAGGGTGTTTATATGTACTGAATCACTATGCACATTAAATTTTTAGGTGGAATAATATTAGTACTTATTTTCAGTTTGTGTGTTAGGTGAACACCATTATTTTATTCTTCTTATTTTGTAAAATTACCCAGTACTTTCTGGATAATAAAAATCAATCTTATAAAGACGACAATTTTCAACCAAGTTAGTTTATGGCTTTAATGTCAAAAAAATTTTAATATCATCCTTTTCAGAACTAGACCAAATGGTTTTTAAATTGTGTTGAGAATTAAAGAAGAAAAACATCAGGGAATATTCTGAAGAAAATGAAGAATAAGAGAAAACTGGCCCTAACAGATAATAACAAATGCTATTATTATTTAAACAATGTAACATAAACACTGAAAGTATTTAAGTGTTTAGTGCAATATAATAGAGATTCTTATCAATTTATGATAGTACATATATAATACAATCAGATTATAGGAAACTTTAAAAACTATTATAATAAATATGTAACATTAAAATATTATATTTATAATAATATAATAAAGAAAAAATTTTACGTTTACTCTTATGTCTTATTTTGAAATAGAGGTCTAACTTAAATATTTTTAAAGCAGAAAGAGAGTAATTCCAAGATATAACAGAGATGGATGGTTGTGAGAGACTTAAAGCAATAGAAGGAATTATGAAAAAAATGGACAGTTTTTATTAGGTAAAATTGTTTATAAAGTAAACACTAACAAAAAATAGGATTCTATAGAATGCAAAAATGGCAGCCTATACTGGGAACAACAGGGCTCTAGGAATGGTGGTTGAAGCATGGAATTTGAAGTCAGGCCACTAAGTCCAAATCCTGCCTCTACCACATATGTGAACATGCGTACTTATCTGTACCTCAGTTTCTCCTTTTGTAAAGGGAGGCTAATAGTACTTAGCTTGTAGTATTGTTGTAGGTATGAGATGCATAATAAAGCACTTAGAACATTGTCTGACATATAGTAACCACTCAATTAATTGATAGTTATTATTTTATTATCAATGGCAGTGTTTCTATTTATTATTGTTATTGGGATCTATAATAGTGCTTCTTTACCAGGGGCAATTTTGCATCCAGAGGACACTTGGCAATGTCTGGAGACATTTTTGGTTGTCACTACTTGGGTTGCTGCCAGTTAAGTAGGTAGAGACCTACTCAACATCCCACAGTCACAGGACGGCCCACCACAATAAAGAATTATCTGGCCCCAAATGTCAGTAGAGCCAAGGTTGAGAAACTCTACTCGATGGTATGTAAAAAGTTTTTACAGCTTTACAAGAACTCCAACGGTATCCCAATAGGTACATGAAAAAAGGCACACGAACTATTCACATAAAAAGAAGTTCAGATAATAAGCATTTGAGAAAGCATTCACATTTGCCACTAAAAAAAATTAATTTGGACAATGAAGAATTATTTTAAAATTTCAAGAGAGTTAATATTAAAAACCAAGGTCAGTTATTATCCAGGGAAATGGGTATATTTATACCTTGTTGAAAGCTGCGTAAGTAGGTAGCAATCCTTGGGAAATAATTTGGTAGTAAGAGTCCTAAAAATGTGCAGAACTTTTGACACTTTGATATCAGTTCTGGAGATTTATTCTAAGTTAATTATTTTAAAAAGAATTTATATAGGCCAATATGCTTAATGCATACTGTAGCATTTTTTTACTAGCAAAAACCTGACCGAAATTTAAATTAACATAAATGGAAAACAGTTAAGCCAATTATATGTTATAACTAAATGGACTATTTTATCACCATTGAATTTATGATAAAATAAAAAATCTGACTACATGGAAAATGTAATGTTCAAAGTAATGTTAAGTGAAAATGAGTAAAACATTTTTATTTATTTGTATTCTGTGATTTTGACTATATAAAATATATAACAAATATGAAACTCAAAACATATTTAATAATACTGGTTGAATGAGTTAAAAACAAAATAAAAAAAGTCTTATGACATCATAAAGATGGTATGCAGGTATCTTTTTCCATTTACTTTAATATTTCTTAATGTATTATAATGTTTCCTGAACAAATAGAAAAGGAAAAAAAAACTTCTTCAAGCATGCCTGTACTTGTGACTTAAAGTTAAGTAGACAGAATAGAGGTATCAATGGGTGGTGGTCTTCACACATCTATAACTCATATCACCAGTGACCCAGATTTTGGTAGTTTTGAGTCCACACATATCTCAGTTTTCGCTCCTTAAGTGGCCCCCTACAAATTTTGTGTTCAGCTTGAGGCAGAAACATTTTCAAGATATTTTTTTCCATTTCAGTTGAAAGCATAGGTGGTCCTTCAGGAAAAGATGCAAACAAGTCACTCTGATGTATTAAATACATTTTTAAAGATTAAAAATAAAAAAATAAGGTGCTAGTGATTGTGTGAAGTTGGTCACAGAGAAAATTCCATCTTCTTAGGTAGTTTGAATAATGGTCCTTGGAGAAAAGTCATTCATAGGTTATTTTAAAAATTGCTTACTTTTTTATATGGAAGAAGTCAAAGTTTTTGTTTTTGACAAGAGTTACAACAGTTTTCTTTTTTTTTCTTTTTCTTTTTTTTTTTCAGAGATAGGGTTTCACTCGGTGGCCCAGGCTGGAGTGCAGTGGCTCAATCATAGCTCACTGCAGCCTCGACCTCCCAGGCCCAGGTGATTCTCCGTGTCAGCCTCCTAAATAGCTGGGACCACAGGTGCATGCTAGCATGCCTGGCTAATTTTTTTATTTTTTGTAAAGATGGGGTTCTCCCTATTTTACCCGGGCTGGTCTCAAGCTCCTGGGCTCAAGCAATCCTCCTGCCTTGGCCTCCAAAAGTGCCAGTTTTCTTCTTTAATTTGGTATTTAAGCAAGCATAGTGGTTTATTCATATCTTTACAAATTTCTTAAACTTTTACCATAGATTATTGGAAGAGACAGCCTATTGATAGGAAAAACACACAAAGTCAGTTTGGAACTGATTCTGAGAATCTGTAGTAAGGAGAAATTGCCACTGATACTGTGTTTTGTTCAAGATGATACAGTGTGATGTATAGCCTTAATCATCACTTTATATATATAGCCTTAATGATCATTTTCCCCTATAGATTATTTTCATTGATTTCCAGAAAGAAACTACAAAAACACTCTTTCTGGGGGAGGTGTGGTGTCGAGAAGGAGGATTTTGACAAAAACTTTAGTCCTGGCTCACCAATATTTCTCAATAAACTCGTCATTTAACCATTCCGGACCTTGGATTTCCTAATTATAAAATGAAACTAAGATGTCTCTGCCATACTTCCTACCCCACTGAGACTTCAAATCATAGAGGAAAAATTTATTTTCAGAAATGGCATTATGGCATTGGAGAGCCATTTGTAGGAAAAAACGAAATCTATATTTCACTCCATCCATACACCAAATAAAACACAGATGGATCAATATTTAAATGTAGCAAATGAAACTATAAATTACCAGGAAAAGATAGGATATTCATATAACTTTGGAGTGGCTGTTGGGTTTTCAATATTCATCTTTATTAATTTCGTCTTAAATGCACATACGATGGGCATCCTGGGTTCTTGCTCTAACTTCTGATTGTAAATGTATTCTTCTAAGAACCAAAGATCCAGCTGTTTTCACCTAGATATGTGTCCAAAGTCTGGATTTCATCCCTTTTAAGTGTAAATACTTAGGGAGACAGTGCACCCATCTTCCGGATACCTTGAGTCGTAACTTAAGGACCTAGTGCAGACTGTAACCATTTGGCCTTCTTGGAGCAGAGCAATTAACTAGATAAACAGCTACAGATTTAATTGTCATGGTATGAAATCCTTCTAGGTGAAGTGAAAGAAAACATTTCCTATCTTTATACCATAAACATTTCTATGTTTCAGGAGGTTAGAACTCTTTACAAGAGCACTGAAAAGTCCAGTGAAATTTTCTTTCTTTGGAGTACAGAATATTTTTCCAAACAGAGTAAAAAGACTAGGAACCTAAAGAAAATCATTGGCAGATTTGACTGTGTAATCATAATTAAAAATTGGTGTAGTAAAAAAACTATAAAAAGAATTGAGGGACAAATGAGCTGAAAAAAAAACCACATTTATAGCACATATGCAGAGTTAGTATCTCTTAAATCTTAAAAAAAAAAAAAAACAAGCAAAAAAGACCTTTAAAAATTGTGCAAAGGTCATGGATTTTCTTCACCAAAGAAGACAAAACAAAAAGTTCCCACCTATAACAAAGTTACTCAGGCTCATTAGTAATCAAATAAGTACAAATAAAGATCATCTGTGATATTATTGTCTTGACAAATTGGCAAAATGAAGGAAAACAATGCCTAGAGCTGGCAAAGCAGTGGTGATAGGCCCTTTCATTCTGTGACGGAATGTGGTGCTTATTTGGGCCACTTTGGCATCACATATTGCAGTAGGCAGAATCCTAAACCCAAAGGTGCCCACATTCTAATCCTGGAAACCTCTGAATATGTTATGCTCCAGGGCAAGGGAGAACTAAGGTTGCAGATGGAATTAAGGTTGCTAATCAGCTGGCTTGAAGACAAGAACAGATCAAGATGGCTGTCTACACACAGGTAGTGTGTGACTCCTCCATGGAGAAGAGCCAGAATCGTTAAGTAGATACTCATATTTCTAACAGGAGAGAATGCTTGGATTCACCAGAGAAGAGATGGGAAACACCAGAATTAAGTAAGTGAGGGTTTGAGGCAGCTTACGTAGCAGGAAGTGACTAAGAGCTGGGAAAGACCCCTGGATGCAGGGAAACAGTAAGAGAAATCCCCCAAGCTCTGAAATCGGGTTTTGTGATCTTGGCTATGGGAGAAACCTTGGACCCACTAGGACATTGTTCCTGACATATAGAGCTGCCTAAAGATTGCATGGAGACATTGCTCCAGAAAGGGAATCCACACAGAATTCCACAGGCATCCGAGCCTGGAGCAGCATCAGCTGGGCCATTTTGAGACCCCAGATACTGGGGATCTACGGACAGGGCTGCAGCCACTGCTGCATTTCCCCAAGGAGGGAGAGGGGAAAATGTGCATGCCCATGCACCCCTGAGAGGGTCCCTGCTGCCCTGCTGTAAGCTGCTGTGAGACTGATACATGAGTGGACCACATTCCCCATGGTATCTTGCTCATGCTACTCACCCAAGAGATGCCCTGCTCTCTCCGATCTCAGGCCCAAGATATTTGCCATTTTGAGAGTTTAATGCTGAGCTGTGCCACACCCTCTGCCTGAATTTGGGCTGATGCAGCTGTAGCTGCTGCCCAGCCAAGGAGGCGCAGGAAAGCCAGACTCTCCTACATATACCTTGGTCAATACCCATTGCCCTGCTATGAGCTACTGTGAGACCAAGATTTGAGCAGACCTCACTCCTCACAGCTTCTCACCCATGCTGCTCATCTGAGAGAGGTCTCACCCTCTTTGGTCACAAGCCCACAGCTGGCACCATTTTGAGAGTTTAGAGACATTGTTTGGTGACCTGGCAATGGTGGCCACAGTAACTATTTTAGTTTTAGGCCAGAGACCATAGTACTTTCTCTGGAATGGGGCAAGGACCCCCACCACAGCCAGAATTGAGCAGTGAGTGTGGAGATTGCCCCAGCAGTAGGAAGTGGAATTAGGTTCTCTCCCATTGCAGTATTGGAGCAGGAGAAGAGTTGTTGAAGCCTAGGTTTCTCCTGGGCAGTGAGACTTTCAGCCAGGGACAGCTTTGTGACCTGATACCAGTCTGCATGTGTCATTTCTGGGTGCCTTGGCCTGCTCCCCTGGTCAGTTAGGGGACAGTGCCCCATCAACTCTGAGGAGTGAGAGGGAGGTGGGCCTCACTCCCCTGGAAACATAACGCTCAGTGTGGTTCACTCCAAGGGAGTGCGGAGTGCAGCCTGCCAAAGCCCCCCTAGGGTCAAAGAAAATAAGGGCAGAACCAGCTGTTGAAGGCAATACCACAAAAGCCCAGCAATGAACGTGGAAAGGGATCATCTCTCATCTCCCCACACTCTTCCTCAGTGCACTGTTACAAATTCAGCAAGTTCTTCCCATTCTGGCCTGGGGAGTGTGGGCCAAAAGAGACCACTTCTTGGGCTTCTCCAGAGGCTCCACCCCCCACTGAAGATGAATGCATACTAAAGAAGGGCCCTTTCTCACTTGTCCGTTGCCCCCACTCCTGCCCCTACCTGTAGGCTCTTGCTCTTAAGTGCCATCTACTGGAATGCAGCCTGAATTACACCACAAAACAAAATTATATCTCTACAAGCATTGCCTGAGAAAGCCGCTGCACAAACCTGTCTGCAGCCAAGAAACCTATACAGAGCCTTAGCCCCTGAAAGCACACAGAAATGAAGCCAACCAATCATACACAATATACACCACAGTCATACCCCTAGCGGAAAAAGAATAAGAAAATAAAAAATCCCCATCCAAACAATAGCAAATTCAAGAAAAAAAGAAGTGTCAGCTCTCAGATGAGAAGGAATCATAATAAGAACTCCTGCAATACAAAAAGCCAAGAGTGTTTCATCATCTCCAAAGTATCCCACTAGCTCCCAAGCAATGAATCCTAACCAGAAAATGAAATGTCTAAAATGACAGATATAGAATTCAGTATATGGATGGAAAAGAAACTCAACAAGGTTCAAGAGAAAGTTCAAATCCAACACAAAGAAGCCAGAAAAATGACCCAAGATTTGAAAAATATCATAGCTATATTGAGAAAGAACCAAATAAAACCCCTGGAATTGAAAAATTCACTAATGGTGTTTGAAAACACAATTGAAATCTTTGACAACAGACTGGCCAAGCAAAATAAATAATTTCAGAGCTTGAAGACCAGACCTTTGAATTAACCCAGTCCAACAACAAAAATAAAGAAAAAAGAATTTAAAAAATGAACAAAGTCTTCAAGAAATATGGGATTATGTAAAGCAACCAAGTCTATGACTTATTGGCCTTCCTGAGAGAGAAGAACAGAAAGTAAGCACCTTGAAAAACATGTTTTAGGATATAATTCAGAAAATTTTTCCCAATCTTGCTAGAGATGTCAGCACACAGAGAAAAAATCCAGAGAACTCCTGTGAGATACTACACAAAGCAGTCATCCCCAAGGCACATAGTCATCACACTATCCAAGATCAGTGTGAAAGAAAAAATATTAAAAGCAGCCAGATAAAAGGGTTATTATTACCTATAAAGGAAAACCCATAAGATTAACAGCAGACTTCTCAGCAGAAACCTTACAAACCAGAAAACATTGAGGGTCTGTTTTCAGCATTCTTAAAATAAAGAAATGCCAGCCAAGAATTCCATACCCTGCCAAACTAAGCTTCACAAACAAAAGAGAAATACAATCTTTTGCAGACAAGCAATTGCTAAGATAATTGGTCACCATCAGACCAGCCGTACAAGAGATGCTTAACAGAGATTAGAACATGGGGACAAAGTAATAATACTTGCTACCACAAAAGGGCACACAAGCACAGAGCCCATGGGCTCTATAAAACAAGTACATAATTGAGACTACAAAGGAGCTGGCCAACAACACTATAACAGGAACAAAACCTCACATATCAATATTAATCTTGAACATAAATGGCCTTAGCACTCCACTTAAAAGACATAGAGTGGCAAATTGGATAAAAACCAAAACCCATCTTCTGCTGTCTTGAAGAGATCCATCTTACATTTAATGACACTCATAGGCTCAAAATAAGAGATGGAGAAAGATCTATAATGCAAATGGAAAACAAACAAACAAACAAAAAGCAAAAGTCAGTCTTCTTTTAGCAGATAAAATAGACTTTAAACCAACAACAGTAAAAATGGACAAAGAAGGGCATTACATAATGATAAAGGGTTCATTTCAACAGGAAGGCTTAACTATTCTAAATATATATGCACTAAATATTGAAGTACCCAGATTTATAAAACAATTACTTCTATTTAACAGGAGATTTGGAGGGTAAAAAAACCAACAATTACTTCTACACCTAAG